>NC_000004.12:91951684-92254714 GCF_000001405.40 Homo sapiens
TGGGTGTGGGGTAAAAATGATAAACTGTGTATCAAACTATCTTATAGGATAAATAAAATAGGAATCAGGAAAGGGAGAGAGAAGGCAGAGAATCTGAAAAGGAAATACAGAACAAAGCAACTAGTCTCATTATGAAAGAAAGATCATATTTTTAAATCATAAAAGAAGGATTAGAAGTACAAAGAAAGAAGTAGACACGTTATAGAATGCCTAGTACATAATTAGCCTCATAAAAATACAATATGAATCTAGGTCCAGAACAGATAATGCTTAAGTGACTAGGTGAAAATAGCCTTTCTGGTCTTGTAAAATGCCTGAATAATTTCCTGACATCACGTTTAATGCACTAACGATATTTTCTCCTTAGCTCCTTTGTTTGAAATTACCAGATAGAATCATTGTTACTGAGAATTCCTTAATATTTATCAATTATTGTTATTTTTGTCATTGTATGTGTTTTTCTTCTATCATAGCAACCTTTTAAAGTTCATGTCCTTTTTTTTTTTTTTTTTTTTTTGAGACGGAGTCTGGCTTTGTCGCCCAGGCTGGAGTGTGTGGTGCGATCTTGGCTCAATGCAAGCTCCACCTCCCGGGTTCACGCCATTCTCCTGCCTCAGCCTCCCAAGTAGCTGGGACTACAGGCGCCCACCCCCACGCCCGGCTAATTTTTTTGTATTTTTAGTAGAGACGGGGTTTCACTGTATTAGCCAGGATGGTCTCGATCTCCTGACCTCGTGATCTGCCAGCCTCGGCCTCCCAAAGTGCTGGGATTACAGGCGCAAGCCACCGCGCCGGCCTCATATCCTTTTTTTGTTATTCAATTTTCTATTTCACTAGTCAGAATTAAGAATGTGCTTCTAACACGTAATGCACAAAGCAAAAGACTAAGATCTAAATAGGGCAGCCTTAAATTCAGTGAAAAATATAAAAAATATATAAGCATCACTATATTCATAAAAAGCTAATACATGCCACACTCATTCACTCTCTGCTACTATAAATGGCTGCTTTGACAACCGTATATTGTTTTGATGTTTTACGCAGTGAATATTATTGGACTCTGAACAAGTCCTTTGCAGTTTAAAGCCTATAAATTGGTTGTATGTTACAGAGAAATAAACTTTAAAATGTCTCCTGTGTGTACCTGTTCATTGGTCCAATAACTTGCCTTATGGTCATGCCCACATTCAATAATCATCATTATGGAAATAACAATGCTTGTCTGTTCCAACCAGTAGTATCAACAGATGCTAAGAGTACTAGAAATCACACAGGCTTTCATGCGTGCTTTTTTTTAGACTGACTGCTTTTGACTAGGGAATATATTTATGAGGGTATTTTCATTCTTTTCCCCACCTGTTTTAATCTTCAAATAACTCAAACTCCTGTTCCATAATGTTAGTGCTTCAATATGGTCTCCTTTATGTCCTCTTCTTTTATCTACTGCTCAGAAGAACTTACCAAAAACTTCAGAAGAGGTATCAAAGAGTCATAAAAGCTCTGAAACACCCTGGGATGACACCATCCAATTACTATATAGTTGAAAAACATTTTTGAAAAAAAAAATTTTGCCAAATGGAGTTTAAAAGTATTGGCTAAACACATTTCAAAGTATTAATTGTATCCATAGTTATTCAGATATATGTGGTTATATACAAAAAATGTTTTGGAAAACAGAAGTACTAAATGGCTATAAACTTTGAAGAAAATATTATGTGTCAAGTTTTTTTCTCTGTAAAGATTAGTTTGCATTTTATAGCATTTATATCAATGGAATCATACACATGTATTTTTTAGAGGAAGGGCTGCCTTTTGTCATTCAGCATACTTATTTTTAGATTATGCATCCATTTGATCAATAGTTTATTTGTTTTATTTCTGATTAGAAATCAATTGCATGAATATATTAAAATTTATGTATCCATTTGCCTGTTTATGGACAGCGCATTTTCTTGCTTTGCGTTATTACAAATAAAGCTGCTGTGAATATAATGCACATGCCTTGTATGAACATATGCTGTCATGTCTCATGAGCAAATATCTAGTATTGGAATGGCTGAATAGTACGATAGTTGTAGGTTTAACTTAAAAAAAAAAAAAAAGCATTGTCAGTGTATTTTCCAAAGTGGTCATACCAACTTACCTTTTCATAAACAGTGTATGAGATTTCTAAATGTTCCACAATCTGACCAACACTTGACACAGTCAGTCTTTTAAAATTCTAGCCATTCTAATAGGTCTGTAGTGGTTTATAAGTGTGATTTAAATTTGTATTTTTATTATAACTAATAACGCTGAGCATCATTCTTGAGATTCTTGGGTAAAGTGTTTGAATAGTTTGTCCATTTTTTAAATTTAGGTTCTTTGTTTTCTTATTACATTTTGAGAATTTTTTATATGTCATACATTTGTCCCAGTCTATGGCTTGTATTTTCATCCCTTTAACAAGCCCTTTCAAAAATCAGAAGTTTTAAATTTCAATAAAGTTAAATTTAACCATTTTTCTCTTTGGATTATACTTTTGGCATCATATCACTAAATTTTTGCCCAATACAAGGTCACAATTATTTTTTTCTAGATGTTTTACAGTTTTAGATTTTGCATTTGATCAATAATACATTTTAGTTCATTTTTGTATTTGTTGCAAAGTAGAAAAATTTATTTGGTGGGAAGGAGTTGGATACCCAGCTCCTCCAGTCCCTTTTTTTTTTTTTTTTTTTTTTTTAAAGACAGGGTCTGGCTTTGTTACCCAGCCTGGAGTGCAGGGGCACAATCTTGGCTCACTGCAACCTCCGCCTCTTGGGCTCAGGTGATCCTCCCACCTCAGCCTCTGAATAGCTGGGACAACAGCTATGTACCACCACACCTGGCTCATTTTTTATTATTTTTTTGTAGAGATGGGGTTTCACTATGTTGGCCAGGCCGGTCTCAAACTCCTGGACTTAAGTGATCTGCCCACCTTGCCCTCCAAAAGGGCTGGGATTACAGGCCTGCTCCAATACTATTTGTTGAAAGTCTATCCTTTCCCCATGAATCTGTCTTTGCACTTTTTTCAAAAATCAATTTTCTATACATGTATAAGTCTATTTCTAAACACTGTATTCTGTTCCATTGATATTTTTGTCTATAGTTTGGCCAGTGTCACAGTTTTATGATAAAGTTAAGCATTATAATAAATGCCTTTTTTTAAAGAGACAGGGTCTCAGGCTCTCACTCTGTCACCCAGGCTGGAGTGCAGTGGTGCAATTTTGGCTCACTGAAGCCTCAACCTTCCAAGCTTCCCACCTCAGCTTCTCCAGTAGCTAGTACCAAAGGCATATGCCACCATGGCTAATTTTTGTATTTTTTGTGGAGACGGGGTTTTTTTGTGTTGCCTAGGCTATACTTGAACTCCTTAGCTCAGGCGATCCACCCACCTCAGCCTCCCAAAGTTCTGGGATTACCAAAGTCATGAGCCACCATGCCAGGCCTATAATAAGTGTTGAAATCAGGTAGTTTTAGCCACCCATATTAGGTTTTCTTTTTCAAAATTGTTTGGGATTTTTGTTTGTTTGCTTTTTTCTTCTTTTTTTGCATATCCACATAAATTTTAGAATTGTACAGATGTTCCTTAACTTACAATGGGATTATGTCCTGATAAACCATTTGTAAGTTGAAAATATGTCAAAAATCTATTTAATACGTCTAATCTATTGAACATCATAGCTTAGCCTAGCTTACATTAAATGTGCTCAGAACACTTACATAAAAATTAATTGTGGTAATGATTTGTGAACATACTAAAACCAACGAATTGTACTTAAATCAACAAGCAAAAAATAACTCCATTTAAAAATGAGCAAATGACATGAACAGGCATTTCTCAAAAGAAAACATACAAGTGACCAACAAAAATACAAAAAAATGCTCATCACTAATCATCAGAGAAATGAAAATCAAACCCACAATAAGATACCATCTCACATCAGTCAGAGTGTGTTTTGTTAAACAGTCAAAAATAACAGATGTTTGTGAGGCTGTGAAGAAAAGGAAACACTTATACACTGTCAATGAGAATGTGAATTAGTTCAGCAACTGTGGAGAGCATTTTGAAAATTTCCCAAGGAACTAAGAGTTGAACTACTATTCAATCCAGGAGTCCCCTTACTAAGCATATACCCAAAGGAAAATAACTTATTCTACCAAAAAAGACACGTGCCCATATGTTCATCACAGCACTATTTACAATAGCAAAGACATGGAATCAACCAAGGTGCCCATCACCAGTGGACTGGATTGAGAAAATGTGGCACATATACATCATGGAATACTACACAGCCATAAAAAAGAATAAAATCATGTCCTTTGCAGCAACATGGAGGTACCTGGAGGCTATTTCCTTAAGCAAAGTAATGTGGAAACAGGAAACCAAATATCTCATGTCCTCACTTACAAGTAGGACCAAAATTTTGGGTATACATGGACATAAAGATAGAATAAGAGATGTGAGGGAGAGAATGGGACAAGCACTGAAAAACTACATGCAGGGTACTATGCTTACTACCAAAGTGTTGGATTCATTTATACTCCAAGATTCACCATGCCACAATATAGTTTTGTAACAAGGCTGCACATGTACCCACTGATACTAAAATAAAAGCTGAAAAGAAAACAAAAATAAATAAATGGTAGTATTATGTAGTCTGTAAATTATACCTCAACAAAGCTATTTGAAATATATATATGTACATATTTTTTAAAATGAGGACCATAGAATAAAATAAATCTTATAATGTAGAAAATGTATGGTACTACATAGATACTTGGTAATCAGTAGGCTTCCTAGAGGAAATGACAAGTAAATAAGAATGTGAATACTGGTTTTGAAATAGTTAGGTGAGGCTTCAGCACAGATATATTTTTATAAAGAAGGTAAGGTAAACAAAAAAAGAAGAATTCCAGTTAGAAAAAAATAGCAGGTTCTAAGACTCAGGAGTAATCAAATTTGTGGCAGATGAAGGAAACTGAAGACACCCAAATGTAGAATGTTTGCTGGCAGTTGGAAGGTAGAAAAAAGAAGAGTAGCCAATGAGGCTGGAGAATATCATGGAGACCATTATAAACCAGAATAAGATGTTGAGAATTCTTCTTAAGGTTACCTAGATATGATTAAAGACTCGATTAAGGGTTCACTTTATCAAATATACCTGGTCACAAGTAGGCTAGTTTTAAAATGGAGCTTATATATAGCAAACAAAGAAGAAAACTATATAAGAAAATTACATCTTTATTATCTATGACTGATTTTGGTCTTGACCTATCAAAATGGGAAAATATTAATTTCTTACATCTACACTATTATTTAAAGTACATGATGGTTAATTTTAACTGCCAACTTGATTGAACAATGAGATGCCCAGGTATTTAATAAAACATTATTTCTGGGTGTATTTGTGAGGATATTTCTGGATGAGAATAGCATTTAAATCAGTAGACTGAGTAAAGCAGATTGCCCTCCCCAATGTGGGGTCATCATCAAATCCCTGGATGGACTGAGTTTAACAAATCACTAGTTTCCCTGGGTCCCTAGCTTTCAGATACTCAATTACGGGACATCTCAGTTTCCATAATTGCATGAGCTAATTTCTTATAACAAACTTATTCATTTTGGTTCTGTCATTCCGGAGAACACTAATTAATACAGGTTTTGTAACAGAGAGTGATTCTAGAGGAACAGATTTTAAGGATGATTTTTCTGGATTAGTTCTGGGATTTCTGAAATTGAGTTAATAATCTAATTGTACTTATAGATGCTAATAATTCTATTTCTAATAGTAAAGAGAGCACCAATTTTCCATGGTGGAACCTGGCAATGGAGATACACAAAACATCTCTATTGGATCTCTTAATCAACCACTTATAAGAAGCAAGGAGCTGGGTGACTATGTGTCTTATGCTTTAGAAATTTTTGAAAAACTAATGAATATAATGAGGTTATCAGGGGCCCCTAATGTCACTGGACAAAGTGATGACAAAAAAGGATGAATTCAGGGATTCACCTTCCCAGTGCAAGTACTTCATAAATGACCTAAAAGTTTCTATCTGTGCCCTGAAAGAGACATATATCTCTTTTAGCAACAGGGATGAGACTGCTGAAAATTCAACACAGACTCTTATCCTTCCACTGGCTGAATTTCAATACAGCCTCACAGGGTATCCTATCCTCACAGGGTATCTACTGTTAAAACGAGGGCATTGATTGGAAAGGAATAGGATGTAGTAAATTGAAATGGGGATGTGTGGAAAAGCCCTGATAGAACTGAGGACATTGAACCCCTAAATTCTGATGAGTCTTCTTTACCTAATGAGGACAAACTGTTGCACCTGAACCTTACTTTTGAAGTAACCTCCCCACCCACAGTATAAGATGCCTCTCCATTTTCAGTGGTATTAGCCTCTCTACACTTGTCTGAGGAGTTTAACCCTGCATTACCGGAGAAAGCTATAATGGCCTTCCCCAAGGCTTTTGTTATGCCAGGCCGTGCTGATTCTTCTCAGGGCCCACACCACAAGCCCTTTTTTCTTCTAAACATATAACCAGACTCAAGTTCCACCAGGCCCCTAAAAGTGAGGCCCAAGCTGTGACAGATGAGGAGGTGCACTATACTCAAAAAGAGCTTTTTGAGTTTTCTAACTTATAGAGACAAAAATCTAGGGAACATGTGTGAGAACAGACAATAAAGATGTTGGATGATGATGGAAAGAACATAAAGCCAAGACAAATTTATTGATAAAGGTTCACTAAGCAGATATTCTGCATTTAATGTTACAGCTCAGGGACTTAGGAAGAGCTCCGTTTGGTTTGTTGGCTGGTTGAAACATGGACCAAAATGTGGCCTAAAGTGAGCAAATTAGAAATGCCAGACCTTCCTTGATTTGTGTATAGAGAAAGGGATTCAGAGGCTTAGGGAAATTAGAATGTTAGAGTGCATTTGTCATTTAAGACCTACTCATTAATCCTGAGAGGGTCCATAAAACATAAGTATACTGTAAAAAATAAATTTGTGAGGGAAACCGTGGCATTCCTGAAGAGCTGTGTAATCACACTTCTCTGCAAGCCAAATCTTACAGTGAGAACTGCAGCCACAGAATTGGGAAGCCTAAATGCAATGAGAGTAATTGGTTACCATGGTGACAGCAGCCAATTGGTGCTACTAGACTGCCAAAAGCAAGGTGGGCGTGGTTACTGTAAGGAACAGCAGAATCAAAGCAGCAATCAGAATAATCTATCCTGTGCAGATCTGTGGCACTGACTAGTTAACCATGGTGTTGTTAGAAGTGAAATAGGGAGCCTACTAAATTCTTATTGGATCCATATCAGCAGAAAAGTTCTAGGTTAAGTGAACAAAATTTAACCTGAATCATAAAAGCAAATAGTAATGGACCCTTAATCAATTCCCAGATTTGAACCAGTTTATAGACCCAGACTTACTGAATGAAAGAGATGCTGGATCTCCTTGAAGAAGAACTCCATGGTACACTATCAAAAATGTATAGTGTTCATCTTAATCTTTACACAAAGGATCTATGGCTTTTTACCATGTAACTGTTCTTTGGGGAAAATAAGATAATCAGAACTTTCAGGGACTTCTGGACACTGGCTCTGAAGTGACGTTGATTTCAGGAGACCCAAAATGTCACTATGATTCATGTGTCAGAAAAAGGGCTTATGGAGATCAGGTGATCAATGGCATTTTAGCCGAGGTCTGTGTGCTAGTAAGCCCAGTGGGTCCCTCAACCCATCCTATGATTATTTCCCCAGCTCCAGAATGCAAAATCGGGATAAATATTCTCAGCCACTGGCAGATTCTCCATAATGCTTCTATTATGTGTGGAATGTGAACTATTGTGATGAGAAAGGCCAAATGGAAGCCACTAGAATTGCCTATACCTAGAAAAGTAGTAAGTCAAAAGTAATACAGACAGCCCTGATTTACAATGGTTTGACTTATGATTTTTCAACTTTATGATGGGTTTATCAAGATGTAATCCCATAATAAATTGAGAAACATATGTACTGCATTATTGGAGTAATTGCAAAGACTAGTGTCACCATCAAGAATTTGAAGGATGCAGGGTGATGACTCCTAACACATCTCCATTCAACTTGCCTATTTGGTCTGTGGAGAAGACAGACAGATCTTGAAAAATGACAGTGGATTGCTGTAAACTTAACAAAGTGGTGACTCCAATTGCAGCTGCTGCTCCAGTAGCTTCATTGCTTGAACAGATTAACACATTCCCTGCTACTTGGTGCATAGCTATTGATCTGACAAATATTTTTTACTCGATCACTTTTTCTGCATTCCTGTCCATAAGGTCCGACATAAACAGTTTACTTCTCAGCTGACAAAACTAACAATACACTTTCATTCTCCTACCTCAGGGATATATCAACTCTCCAGCCCTATGTCATAATTTAATTTGGAGGTATTTTGATTGCTTTTTCCTTCTCCACAGGATATCACTTTGGTCTATTACATTGATGAAATTGAGCTGATTGAATCTAGGGATCAAGAGGTAACAAATACTCTAAACTTACTGGTAAGTTTTTGAAGTCAGAAGGTGGGAAAGAGACCTGACAAATGTTTAAGGACCTACTACTGTAGTAAAATGTCTAGGGATCCAGGGATATGGGGCATGTCAAATTAGCCCTTCTAAGGTGAAGGATAAGCTAATGCACCTGGACCTTCCTCCAACCAAAAACGAGGCACTATGCTTAGTAAGCCGCCTTGGATTTTGGAAGCAACATATCCCTTATTAGGGTATGTCACTCCATGAATTTGGTGACTGGGTAAATGAGTATGTTGTGCCATTTATCAAGTGACCTGAAAGGCAGCTAGTATTGTATGGTGTCCAGAACAAGGGAAAGATCTACAGCAGGTCCAGGCTATTTGAAAACAGCTCTGCCACTTGGACCGTATGATCCAGTGGATCTAATGGTATTTGAAGTAGCAAATAGGGTTGCATTTAGAGGCCTTTGGCAGGACTTATAGGTGAATCATATTGATGACTCTTCATATTATGAAGCAAACCCCTCTCATCTTCAAAAGATAACTGTTCTCTTTTTGAGAAATAGTTCTTGACCAGCTGTTGGAGCTTATTAGAGACTGAATGCTGAATCAAAGGCCACCAAGTTACCATGTGACCTGAAATTCTCACTTTGACCTTGGTGTTAACTGACACACAAGAACCTGTAGGTAAGGAAGACTATGTCTGAAATACAGGATATCTCTTGTGGTGTCTATATGTATATATAGATATAGATATAGATATAGTTTTTATATCCTTTTGGGAAGAAGCCTGACTAATAGAAAACCTGAAAAATTTCCATGGTGGATTACTTTCTAGTTCACAGAAAGACATCTAACCAACTCAAAGCTCCAGGGAGTTTTTTCAATTAGTCTGAACATCTAAAACATAAAGGGGAGAGTGACATTGGAATTTGAAAAAATATTAATTTTATTTTGCTGTATAGTGTTCCTGATGTTTCTCAGGAAAATTAAAGATAAATAAGTCTACCTTTAATTTTGTTTGAATTTGGTAATACTATTTTTTAATATTAATTGACAATCAATTGATTGGCAACCAATAAAAGGTAGCTATCATTGAGTATGATACAAATGTAGCATGATAATATTTTGAGGTGTTGATTTGGTTTTTACTTTTTCCCATTCTTTTGGAGGCTTTATATATTTATTTGTTTATGTATTTATTTAAATAGTCATAGCAAAAGGCAATAAATCATTTTTATTTCAAAACTAAAACTTTTGAGATTCAAAAGCCTAAATCTTGAACAATTTTGAAATTAAAATATTTGCTACAAGTGGCTTAGAAAACTAAATGAATGGTCAGAATTAATTTTTATGGGGTCTTCTGATGCCTAACTTCTACAACTGTCCTTGAAACTAGATAAAGCTAATCTTGAAAAGTGAAAGAGAAAGACTCTTTCACTCTGCTTTAGTTTAGATAAAGGAAGAGTTTAGATGCTGATGACTCATAGGAGAGACCTTTTTCTCATTTGGACAAATCCTGGAGTGAGGATAGGAATTACAGATAGATTTTAGTTTGAGAAATTCAAAAGTAGATGAAAACCTGAACCACCTTTTTCAGTTAGGGCTCACAAAGCATTAAGAGTCAGAGTTTGCCCCTTCCTAGGCTAGTGTGAGAACATAAGAAATTTCTGCATAAGCCCTATAGGCAGTCAGATCTGAGGCAACTTGGTAGAATCCCTGGTTTCTGCCATCATGAATCGGCAGCCTAAAAAAGTTTTCCTCTGCAGCCAAAACGAGCATAAATGTGGCACTTTAGTCTGGCAGGTGTGGAAGGGTCTTGTGGCAAGATGAAGCAATGTGTCCAACTGAATCAATTATGTTTGTGGATCCACCATCAATGAGCTGAGTAAACGAAGACTTCATGATAGAAACCACAGTAAACATGTAGCATCACCTTTGTTAGATATATCTCGCCTCCCAAGCACCTTAATTAAGGCCTCGGTCTTGGCCTTAATTAAGTCCCCAAGAGAAACAACTTCATGAATTGAGGTGAAGAATAACTTGCTAAAATTTAATTTTTGCCGCCTGGTAGAACAAAGTTTCAAAATGAAGTTTAATCATAAAAAATCAAATTCCTTATTCAAGAGAGCTATCATCTGAGAATTTGCGCCCTTACTCTGATAAAAAGCACCACTGTTTACTGAATGCTTACCAGGTGACAAGCACTACACTGGTTACTTTACAAAGATTAGCTCAGCTTTATTAACAGTAAGGCATATTCTAAAAATGTTCCCCTTTAAGCAAGTGTTTTTAATTACAGACCCAGTTAACTCTGATAATAAATGTTCATACACCCTCTTATAGTTGCTTAACACCATACAACTTAGATTAACATTGGGCTAATTGTTCTTATACCTGGCAGTTGTAGATCCAGCAATATAAGGTATCTGTTCACACCATGATAACTTAATATTCATGTTCTCTACCCTTTAAAGCTGTTTCCCATTAGCTAGACTTTTATGATTTCCCAGCACAGTTGGCAACAATTTTATTTCTATCAAGCAAAAGACAATAATATGTTAGAGGTATTCACTATAAAATTTTTTTAAAAAACTGTTAAAGGGTTTATCATGTCTTGGGCTGTCTCAGCCTTCAAAAAAATTAATTGGCCCCACAGGCTTAGATGGATTTAAAATTTTTGAAGAGAAAAGATGTTAAAATGATCACTTCTTTCCCTAAGGCATCCCTGAAAATGCTGGTCAGAATGGAAAATGTGTGCTTGAGGCTGGGCCCAGTAACAATGTACAGGAACCATGCCATATTCATCTGTGACCTTTACAGTATAGTTCTAGAAAATGAATTCAGCCTCCAGTCTGGCCAAAAGGTATAAATAAGCTTTACAGTTTTGACCTTAGCTAAATGGGGAGCAACCAGATAAGCAAGCATCAAAGAAAATTTGCTTTTATTTTAGAAACATTTCCTTCACGCTTGCAAAATCTAAAGGTAGGCTGAGGGAGGGTAGGGATGAGGCAGCCCAAAGACAAACTGGGTAGGTCAAGGATTTCTTTTCTCACCATAAACTTGTAAAACTGCTAAGGAAAAATCATACACTGAAAAACAGGAAAAAAATTGTTTCCGTGCATCTTATCATTTGTGTACATTTTTCTGCCTCTCAAGTGTGTGTGCTTGTGTGTGTGTGTGTGTGTGTGTTAGTGTGCGTATGAATGTTTAAATAACTGCATTTAGATTAAGATTACAAATAAGAAATGTTAAATCTCTCAGATATAAGAATAATCTTAAGGTATTTTTCTTGACCCTGAAAAGTAAAAAAGCATGAAATAGTTTTGCCAAGAGGAACAGATGTTTCTGTTGTATATTTCTTACTCCCTGGGCATGTTTGAGAATTCTAAATATAAACGTTCAAACAGACAGGGTGCAAACACGCAGGAAGTTTGGGGGAGTGTGATGATTCATTTAGACGATTCAATCTGATTCACAACTTTGCACATGAATCAAAAATCAGGAAAATTGAAAAAAGGATGGTTTAGTCATACTAACATGTGTATGGCATACATCTTAAAAAGAAAGCAAATTCAGAATGCTAGCCAATTTCAAGAGTAACTTAAACCACATAAGCAATAAATAGGCAAAAGTTTCAAAGACTTACACATACTAACTTAATTTTTCATGATCATTTCAATCCCCTATAAGGGTTTCATCTGAACCCATTACAGATTTAAGGGGTTCACATATATATATATATTATATATATATAATATATAATATATATTATATATATATATAATATATATTATATATTATTATATATTATATATATATATAATATATATTATATATTATTATATATTATATATAATATATATAATATATATATAATATATATATATATTATATATTATATATTATATATATAATATATATATATTATATTATATATTATATATATACACACACACATATACATATAAATTTTACTCATATATAGTATAATTTTCTATATTACAAAACAAAAATCTCACAAAGTGGTAGGGGGATTTAGAATAAGTAGTCTGACTAACACACTACTTAGCACACAGTCATCTAATATTCAAGACGGAGTAATAATCTGAGCTTTCTGGTGAGGATGCTGTAAGAATCAAACTAAGCTCTGAATCTCTGAGGAGTAGTGACTATAACTGTCATCCTCATAAAAGTTGATATTGATCTCCCTGATACATAGAATAAACAGTCTCCATTACAGTGGTAATATAGTTTATCACAAAATAATATGTTTTTGAAAAGTACAAATAAGACAAAAATGCGTTAAGGTCAACTCCTTTAAAACCAAAGGTCTTTTTTTGTGGCAAACAAGTATGCCAAATTTGATAATTATATATTTAACAACATTCTACAACAAAACAGATAGATACTTTGGGGTATATTTTGTGACTCTTTTTGTGGTATATTCCTCATAGACTAGTATACTTTATATCATACTATATGGAACCTTAAGGCCCTAATAACTAATTTGTTTACTGGTTAGATTAAACCTAGAAAAGTTTTTAAGTTAAAAAAAAAAACTTTTGGTTTTAAGTATTTTTTAGCCTTTGTAGTAGATGTTATTGATGCCTACATACATAACCATGTTCCAGACACTGTTAAGCTATTGGTTGAAAATGGCTATCTACTGTCTTCCCTGGAGAATTGCACTTGGCTGAAAAGGAGCCACTTTTGCAAGAGAGTTGATGCTCTTCCTGAGCTGTCTTCCACTGTCAATGACTGACTCAAGAACACAAAATGTCACCATGGTTTCTTCTTAGAGGAGGGGATTATCAGATATTAAAAGTAAGCCATCTCACAGTTGATCCAGCACATCCATGAATCTTCCTAGTGATCATGTTCCTGGTTTCTGAATATAAAATCAAATGAATATATTTAGCAGTTACCAGAATCCTTACTTTGGTTTCCTAACCTATAGAACCATAGTGAAAAAGACAAAGTAGAATTCCCTGAAATGTCTCCATTTTTTTAGAAGCAATACTACATCTTGTGGGAAAGAGTAAATATTAGTGTCAGCCTCAAAGACTTAAAGAATGGGATGCTTTACTTGGGAAACTTCCCATTCAGTTCACCAGTCTGTCTCCTACAGGTTGGAGATGGAATATAGTGGATGACAGTAGAATTACCAAAAATGTAACCAAGAAATAGAATTGTAATTGCTGTTCCAGATGTGTTATCTTCCAGTTTTGTTGTCATATCTAAAATAGATTAACCAAACCTCTGGGATGCACAGTAATTGGTTTGGCCAATGCTTATTTTTACCCAATAGGCTTGAGAAAGGAGAAACTGAAGCAAGTCATATTCACAAGGGATTAACAAGGCTATGAATGTACTGTTTTAGCCTAAGACCATGATCATTCTTCTGCTCCTGATCTGTCATCTGGACTTTCTACAGAATATCACATTAGCCCAGAATGTCATGTTAATTGGACCCAAATGGCAAAATATTTGTATATGCTCTGGATTAATTAAACCCATATTTTCACTGGTGAGTGAGACCTATATTCAGTAAAGTTTTGGAGGCTTGTCACATAAGGAAACTTTTTAATATTATTATTTTTTTTATTTTTAAGTTCTGGGATACATGTGCAGAATGTGCAGGTTTGTTACACAGATATACATGTGCCATGGTGGTTTGCTGCACCTGTCAACCTGTCATCTAGGTTTTAAGCCCCACATGCATTAGGTATTTGTCCTAATGCTCTCCCTCCCCTTGACCCCCACCCTCTGTGTTGTTCCCCTCTCTGTGTCCTGGTAGGGAACTTTTTAGGGGATCTATTGTACAAGAATATGCCAGGGAATCCTATTCAATGAAAAGGATAACATCTTTTACCTCTTACCATCTACCACTCAAAAAAAACAAAAAAAACAAAAGCACTATGCTTCATAGTTTTCTTCAGATATTGAATTACATATTCCACACTTTGGAATACTGTTCCAACATATATATAGTAGATAACTGTATTTTTGTTTGTTTGTTTTTTATGTTGTCATAGACTCATTGGTCTATGAGTCTGTTTTTATGCCAGTACCATGTTGTTTTGGTTACTATAACATTGTAGTATAATTTGAAGTCAGGTAATGTGATGTCTCCATATATGTTACATATATATTACAATTACAATATAGTAGATCCTTATAATATACTATTAGATAATTGTAATCTACTAGTTTGAGTGGGCTGCAAAGGAGGGGGAATAAAAGGTGTTCTATATCAAGGCCAAGCTGT
Source organism: Homo sapiens (assembly GCF_000001405.40). Taxonomy (NCBI): domain Eukaryota; kingdom Metazoa; phylum Chordata; class Mammalia; order Primates; family Hominidae; genus Homo; species Homo sapiens. Next base: position 91,966,508 of record NC_000004.12, read on the forward strand.
GAACAAGCAGCATTGACACTAGGGCAACAGAATATGGCAGAACACATACCCTAGAGGTGTGTTTGGCAGAGACAAAAATGCCACAGTGACATGTAGACTTTCGGGAAAATCCGAATATGAAAACTGCAAGTCAGAGAACAGACCCATCTGATTCTTGAGAAAGAATTTACTTTCTGCAGCAAAGAACTATAGCCTGTTTGAGAAGCAGCCTCTGAGGGGGGAAGGCTAGAATAATTCACGCTGTAATGCATTAGAGTATGACACATAAGAATGAGCTAAACTTTAGTGTAGCTAGACATACATTTAGAAATATTTGTAGATATTTGGAAATATTTGTATATATGTATATATTTATGAATATTTTATACAAATATTTATAGATATGGATATATATAAATTTATCTACAAATACATATATGTGTGTGTGTATATATATATACACACACACACACACAATCTTACTGCTGGGTAGATATCCAAACAAAAGGAAATTGGTATATTGAAGAGATATCTGCACTCCCACGTTTATTGCAGCACTGTTCACAATAGCCGAGATATGAAATCAACCTATGTGTCCATTAACGAATGAATGGATAAGTGCTACATATGCACAATGTACATATACACATACATATACGTGTGTGTGTATATATACATACATGTATATATGTATATATATACATGTGTGTATATATACACACACACGTATATGTGTGTGTGTGTGTATATATATATATATACATATATATATATATATATATATATCCTAGTTAGTATATACACATATGTTCTCTCATTTTGTCAGACAAGAGAGCCTACAAGCAATGACTCCCCAGTAGTAATTGGCATACCTAGGGCACAGATCTTGGCTTCTAATACCAGTCTCCAATGAAAGTAGCTAGAGCTCCTTGGAGAAATGATTGATTTTAGGACTATGGCAAGAAATATACAATATGATATTAGAGCATCCTGTGTCCATACTCAAAACAAAACAAAACCCACAATGATTGGGATATGCCAAAGGGACACAGGGGCTGAATGAAAAAACTACCAATGGACAAAGCTGAAATAATTTTAGCAATAAAATAAAATAATTATAACCCCAAATATAAAATACATATACAAAAGTATATACAGATATAAATAAATTAGGGAAAAGAGACAAATTGACCATACAGAAAAGCTCAATCTAAGTAGATACTCCACCCTCAAAGAGATGTAATATGTTTCTCTACTCCTTAAGTGTGGAATGCACATAGTGCTTTGCTTCCAAAGAGTAAAAAGTGAAAAGAAGAGTTACAAGTAAGTTTAAAGTGGAAAAATCTGACAAACCCTACCTCAGCCAAGTGATCAGGATTAACATCAGCAATGGTAAATCATATTGATAATATATATCTCTGACACAATGTGATGAAAACAGCATTTTACTTCTCTGGTTTTCCTTCAAACAATACTTAAGTTCTATCTAATCATAATAAAAATATTGAACAAATCCCAATTGAGAGAGATTTAATAAAATATCTAACCAGCACTCCTCAAACTGTCAAGGCCATCAAAAACAAAGAATATCTGAGAAACTGTCACAGTCAATATGAGCCTAGAGAGACATAACAACTAAATATAATGTAGATCCTGGAACAGAAAAAAAAAAAAAAGAGTGTTTGATAAAAACTAAAGAAATCCAGATAAATTATGAACTTTAGGTAATAATAATGCATCAATGTTGGTGCATTAATTGTAATAAATCTATCATACCAATGTAAGATGTTAACAGGAGAAGCTGAATCCAGGGTATCTGAGAATCTCCTGTGCTATTTTTGCAATTTTTCTGTAAATCTAAAACATTTCTAAAATAAAAAGAAGTTTTTTTTTTGCTTTTTTAAAAAGCAGTTTCTGATATGCTACTGATCCTGAATTGAGATTGAACATCAGACTATTGCACATCAAATAAATGTGTAGACAGACATGCCCATTAAGATGTAAGTATTGTTGTTCCCAAAGAAGACTAAGGCCAGGTGTTCTCGCAGCAAAACACCCTAAAATGGAAGCAGCACATTTTCAAATGACCCAAACAAACCTAGAGGGAATGTGAAAGTTGGCCGAGCAGGTAGCCAAAACCCCCATCTCACCTACACTTTTCCTCATATGGGTTTCGTATGACCTGTCTATAAGGTAAGTGCCAACTGGGTTTGGGAATGCAAGCAAATAAGCACATGGCACTGTAAAGGACACATATACCCTATATATTTTTAATTTTTTATATTTGATTATTATTCCTACATAACAGTTGTACATATTTATGGGGGGATGTGATATTTTGATACAAGCATACAATGTATAATGATCAAATCAGGGTAATTTGGATATCCATCACCTCAAGCATTTATCATTTCTTTGTAATAGGAACATTCCAACTGTACACTTTTACTTATTTTGAAATATACAATATATTTATATTGTATACAATATACATACCTTACTGTGCTACCAATGACTAAATCTTATTTCTTCTATCTACCTGTATTTTGTACCCATTAACCACTCCCCCGTTTTCCCCCCACCCCTACTGCTATCCACCACAGTCCCTGGTAACCTTTATTCTAATCTCTATCTCCATGAGTGTAGTTTTATTTTTATTTTTGGTAGATTTTAACATATGAGTGAGAACGTGATATTTGTCTTTCTGTGCCTAGCTTGTTTTATTTACTATAACGACTTCCAGTCCGTCCATGTTGTTGCAAATGACAAGCTTTCATTCTCTTTTATGGCTAAATAATATTCTATTGTGTATATGTAGCACTTATCCATTCATTCGTTAATGGATACATAGGTTGATTTCATATCTCGGCTATTGTGAACAGTGCTGCAATAAACATGGGAGTGCAGATATCTCTTCAATATACTAATTTCCTTTTGTTTGGATATCTACCCAGCAGTAAGATTGCTGGGGCATATGATAGTTCTATTTTCAGTTTCTTGAGGAACCTCTGTACTGTTCTCCATAGTGGCTGTACTAATTTACATTCCTGCAAACAGTGTGCAAAGCTTTCCTTTTCTCTGCATACTTGCCGGTATCTATTATTGCTTTTTTTTTTTTAATAAAAGCCATTTTTTAACTGGTAGAGATGATAACTTCTTGTGGTTTTGATTCCCATTTCTGTAATGATTAGTGATGTTGAGCAGTTTTTCATATACATTTTGGCCATTTGTATTTCTCCTTTCAAGAAATGTCTATTTAGATCTTTTGCCCATTTGTTGATTAGATTATTTCCTTTTTCTATTGAGTTTTATGAGTTGCTTATATATTCTGGTTAATAATCCCTGACAGGTTTTTAGTTCGCAGATATTTTCTCCCATTCTGTGGGTTATCTCTTTAGTTTATCGATTGCTTCCTTTGCTGTACAGGAGTTTTTTAAATTGATAGGATCCCATTTGTGCATTTCTGGTTTGGTTGCTTGTGCTTTTAGGAACTTAATAAATCTTTGCCCAGACAAATGTTTTCAGGTGTTTTTCTGTTCTCTTCTAGTAGTTCCATAGTTTTACATCTTTGATTTAAGTATTTTATCTATTTTTATTTGAGTTTGTATATGTTTAAAGATAGGGGTCTAGATTTATTCTTCTGCATATGAATATCCAATTTTCCCAGCACCATTTATGAAGAATCTCCTTTTCCCAATGTATGTTCTTGGTACCTTTGTAAAAAATGAATTGGCTGTGAAAATGTGGATATTTTTGTTGTTGTTTTCTATGTTGTCATAGACTCATTGGTCTATGAGTCTGTTTTTATGCCAGTACCATGTTGTTTCGGTTACTATAACATTGTCTCCAGCTTTGTTCCTCTTGCTCAGGGATGCTGGGGCTATTCTGGCTCATTTGTGCTTCCATATGAATTTTAAGATTATTGGCCAGATGTGGTGGCTTATGCTTGTAATCCCAGCACTTTGGGAGGACAAGGCGGGAGGATCACCTGAGGTCAGAAGTTTGAGATCAGCCTGGCCAACATGGTGAAACCTAGTCTCTACTAAAAATACAAAAATTATTTTTTCAATTTTTTTGAATAATGTTTTTGATATTTTAATGGGAATCACATTGAATCTGTAGATTATCTTGGGTACTATGGACATTTTAGCAGTATTTATTCCTTCAATCCATAAATATGAAATAGATTTCCATTTATTTATTGTCCTCTTCAATTTCTTTTATCAATGTTTTATAGTTATCATCATAGAGATCTTATACTTTTTGGTTGAGTTTATCTCTAGATATTTTATTTTATTTGTAACTACTCTAAATGGTATTATTTTATTGGTTTCTTTTTCAGATTTTTTGCTATTGGCATATGGAAATGCTACTGATTTGGGTATGTTGGTTTTGTATCCTGCAATTTTAGTGAGTTTTACTGTCAATTCTATAGTTTTTTTGTGTAGTATTTAGATTTTTCTAAGTATAAGATCATATCATCTGCAAAAAAAAAAAAAAAAAAAAAAAAAAGATAATTGACTTCTCCCTTTCCTATATTCCTATTTGGATATCCTTTATTTCTTTCACTTGCCCGATTGCTCTGGCTAGGATATCCAGTACTATGTTAAAGAAAAGCGGTGAAAGTGGGCTTCCAGGCCTTGTTCCAGGCTTTAGAGGAAAGGATTGCAGTTTTCCCTGTTCAGTATGACACTATCTGTGAGTTTGTTGCATATGACTTTTATCATGTTGAAGTATGTTCCTTCTATACCCACTGTATTGAGAGTTTTTATTATGAAGCAATGTTGAATTTTATTAGATGTTTTTTGGCATCTATTGAAATGATCATATGGTTTTTGTCTTTCATTCTATTGATATGATGTATCAAATTCATTGATTTGTGTATGGTGAACCATCCTTGCCTCCCTGGGATGAAGACCACTTAGTCATGATGAATTATCTTTTTAATGTATTGTTTGAGTTGCTAGTATTTTGTTGAAGATGTTTACATTTATGTTCATCAAAAATATTGGCCTGTAGAATTTTTTTATGTTGTGCCTTTGTCTGGTTATGCTATCAGGGTAATACTGTCTTCATAGAATATATTTGGAAGTGTTTACTCCTACTTGATTTTTTTTAATCGTTTCAGTAGGATTATTATTAGTTCTTTTTTAGTTGCATTGCAGAATTCATCTACACCAGGTCCTGAGATTTTCCTTGATGGGAGACTTTTATTACTGTTCTATCTTGCCACTTGTTATTGGTCTATTCAGGTTTTGGATTTCTTCCTGCTTTAATCACTGTAGGTTTTATGTGTCTAGGAATTTAGCCATTTCTTCTAGATTTTCCAATTTATTGGATCATAATAGTCTTTAATAATTTTTTGAATTTCTGTGGTATGAGTGTTGTCTCCCTTTTTTGTAATTGATTTTATTTATTTGGGCCTTCTCTTTTTTTTTCAGTTTGCCTGGTTAAAGATTTGTCTATTTTATCTTTTCAAAAAAAATCACCTTTTCATTTTGTTGATATTTTATATGCTTCTTTAGTCCACTTTCTCTTATTTCTGCAGAGTTCTTTATTATTTCTTCTACTAATTTTGGGTTTGGTTTGCTCTTATTGTTCTAATTCTCTAAGATGCATTGTTAGGTTATTTAAAAATTTTACTTTTTTGATGAAAGTGTTCATTAGTATGAACTTCTTGTTTTCCTTTCCTGTATCCCATAGGTTTGTTTCCATTTTATTTGTTTCAAGAATTTTTTAAATTTTCTTCTTAATGTCTTCATTTACTTAATGGTCATTCAGAAGCATATTGTTTAATTTTCATGTGTTTGTGTAATTTTTAAAGTTTATCTCATTACTGATTCCATTGTGGTCAGAAAATATACTTGATATGATTTTAATTTCTTTGAATTTGCAAGAAAGCAAAGTCATTTATTTCATTTTTAAATAGATAAACAGTAAAATTCACTCTTCTTGGTGTACAGTTCTATGAGCTTTGACAACTGTACACACACAGTCTTATAAACTTGTTCTATTACTCCCCAAATTCCCTTGCGCTTTTCCTTGTCAACTTCTCTTGACCTCCAGCCCTGGCAACTAATCTGCTCTAGGTCACTATAGTTTTGCCTTTTCCAGAATGTTATATCAATAAAACACACAGAACACAATCTTTTGCATCTGACCTTTTTCATAAGGTATTGAGATTCATTCACATTGTTGCCTGTATCAATAATTTGTTCCTTATTATTGCTAAATGGTATTTCTTTGTATGAATGAGCCAGTTTTTAATCCATCTATCCACTGAAGGATATTTTGGTTGTTTAGCATTTGGGGGTTTTAATAAAGTTGCTATAAATATCCATGTAGAATTATTTAAGACTGATTTTACCAGCCTGGGCAATATAATGAGTCTCTGTCTCAAAAAAAAAAAAAAAAAAAAGGGAAAGAAAGAAAGGGAAAGAAAAAGAAAAAATATTAGCCAGGCATGGTGGTGGGCACCTGTAGTCCCAGCTAGTTGAGAGGCTTATGGTGGGAGAATGACTTGAGCCCTGTAGGTTGAGGCTGTAATGAGCCATGATCACCCACTGCACTCCAGCCTGGGCGACACAGCAAGACCTTGTCTCAAAGAAAAAAGACTGGTTTTGTGGCCTACCATAGGTTTTATCCTTGAGAACATTCTATGTGCTGAGGAGAAGAATGCATATTCTGCAGCTGTTGGGTGACATGTTCTATAAATATCTATTAGGTGCATTTGTTCTACAGTGCAGATTAAGTCTGATTGTTTCTTAGCCGATTTTTTTATCTAGATGATCTATTTAATGCTAAAAGTGGAGTGTTGAAGTCTCTGACTATTATTTTTGGAGGTCTCTCTTTAGCTCTAAAAATATTCACTTTATACATCTGGGTGCTCCAGTGTTGGGTGCATATACATTTATAATTATTATATCTTTTTGTTGAATTGATCCTTTGATCATTATATAAGATCATCTTTGTCTCTGTTTATTGTTTTTGTCTTGAAATATATTTTGTTGGATATAAGTATAGCCACTCCTATTCTTTTCTGGTTTTCCTTTGCCTGGGTTATCTTTTTCAATGCCTACATTTTCAGTCAACATGTGTCTTTATAGGTGAAGTGATTTTCTTGTAAACAACATATACTTGGATTTTTAAAAATTCATTCAACCATTTAATGTCTCTTGATAGGAGAATTTTGTTAACTTACATTTAATGTTATTATTGATATATAATGATTTACTACTGCCATTTTGTTAATTGTTTTCTGATTGGTTGGTTTGTTTTTCCTTCCTTCCTTCCTTCCTTCCTTCCTTCCTTCCTTCCTTCCTTCCTTCCTTCCTTCCTCCCTCCCTCCCTCCCTCCCTTCCTTCATTGCTGTCTTCCTCTGTGTGTAAGTTATTTTCCCTGGTATTATTATTTAATTTCTTGCTTTTATTTTTTGTGTATTTCTTATAGGTTTTTGCTTTGTGGTTATCATGGGTTCGGAACCAACATTTTATAACCAATTATTTTAAACTGATGACAACTCAAATCACAAAGATAAAAAAAAACAAGCAGAAAGAATATTAAAAAACTACACTTCTGCTTTTTGACTTTTTGTTTTCTCTATTTTTATCTTTTTATATAGTCTATCTCTTTACAAATTGTTGTAGTTGACAGATTTGTCTTAGCCTTTCTACTAAAGATATGAGTGGTTTACACACAATTTCAGTGTTAAAGAGTATTCTTTGTCTGTGTAGTTACTTTTACCAGTAAGTTATTTACCTTCAGATGATCTCTTACTGTTCACTACCATTTGCTTCTTTCATGTTAAAGAACTCTCTAGCATTTCCTGTAAGACAAAACTGATGTTACTAAAATTCCTTTGGTTTTCTTTTTTTGCGGGAAAGTCTTTATTTCTCCTTCATGTTCGAATGAGAATTTCGCTGAATACACTTTTCTACGTTGAAAGTTAGTTCCTTCAGCACTTTGAAGATGTCATCCTATCCCCTTGTGGCCTGTAAAGTTTCCACTAAGCAGTATGCCACAGACATATCAGAGCTCTTATATGTTATATGCTTCTTTTTGAATACTTTCCTCATTCCTGACCTTTGAGAGTTTGATTGTTATATGTCTTGAGGCAGTAATACTTGGGTTGAATTTGCTTGGTTTTCTTTTACCTCCTGGTACCTTCTTGTAGGCCTCCAGCATTCTTTCTCATTCTTTTTTCTTTGTTTTCCTCTGACTGTATACTTTTACACAGATCATCTTCTAGTTCACTATTTTTTCCTTCTGCTTGATCAATTATACGGCTGAGAGGCTCTGATACAGTTTTCAGTTTGTCAACTAAATTTTTCAGCTCCAGAATTTTGGCTTGATCTTTTAAATTTCAAATGTCTATTGAATTTCTCTGACAGAATTCTGAACTCCTTTTCTGTGCTCTTTTGAAGTTCACTGAGCTTCCTCAAGACAGCTATTTTGAACTCTTTGTCTGAGAGGTCACATATCTCTACCACTCCAGAATTGGTCACTGGTACCTTATTTAGTCTATTTGGTGAGGTCATGTTTTCTTGAATATTCTTGATGCTTGTAGTTGTTCGTTAATGTCTGGGCATTGAAAGCTAGGTATTCATTCTAATCTTCACAGTTGGGATTTGTTGTATCTGTCTTTCTTGAGTGGGCTTTCCAAGAATTAAAAAGGGTATTGAGTGTTGTGACCTAACCCTGTGGTCACTGAGTCCTTTCAGCACAATGTGGCTCCATAAGCCCAGGAATGCTGTGACTCTTAAGACTCCTAGATATACAGCCTTGGTGGACTTGGAGACAATAAGGGAGAATTCCCTCAGTTACCAGGCAAAAGTGTCTTATTTTCTTCTCTTTCTTTCCCCCAATCAGGAGGAGTTCCTCTTTGCATTGGGGGAGGGGTGACATGGGAACTCTCATGGCCACCACAGCTAGAACTACACTGGATCTGAAAGACCAACAGCCTTTCAGGCAAGGATAGTACTGGGGTTTACCTGCAGCCCATAGGCACTACTGTCTGCCTAGTGCTGATGTTTACTCAAGGTCAAAGCACTTTAGTCAGAAGTTGGTGAATTCTTCCAGGACTAAGTCTGTCTCATCAGGAGATCAGATTTCCTTCTGGCCCAGGGTAGGTTTAGAAATGTCATTTAGAAGCAAAAGTCTGGAATTAGAGGCTTCAGAAATCTGCTTGGTGCTTTGTTTTACTGTGGCTGAGTTGGTACCCAAGTTGCAAGACAAAGTCCTTTGTACTCATCCCTCTCCTTTCCCCAAGTGAAAAGAGTCTTTCCCCAAGCTGCACTGCCTGGAGTTGGGGTAGGGGTGACATAGGCACTCTCATGGCCAGCTGCAGAGCTGTTGTTGCACTGGGTTGCACTCTAAGTCCTCTGCAACCAAGTTCAGTGCAGCACCAGGGCTTGCCCAAGGACTATAGTCCCTGCGGCCTGTCTCTCACTCAAATTTATTTAGGGTTCTCTGGCCATTTCAGTCTGTTGATACTGAAGCAAACCAAGACTCATGTTCCTTCCACTGAGGCAAAGTATTTCCCTCTGGCTTAGGGCTGTCTAAATTTTCCCTCCATGGGTGCCAGCAGAATTCTGCCTTGTGTTGTATTTGACTGTGAGAGGGCAGAACTGAATTCCAATGTAAAGTCTCAAATGCACTTCACTGTCCCTCCTCCAAGCATGCAAACTGTCCTCTTGCTGCACTGCCTGGGTTTGTAGGAGTGGTGTAGACAATGCAAGGCTGTCTTCCCCACCTCCTTTAAAGTGACTTTCCTGGCTATTATTTTAAAACCAGTTACTGTGACCACTCATCTGATTTTTTTGGTTCTTATGAAGATGTTTTCTTGCATGAATAGTTGTTCAATCTGGTGATTCTGCAGGAACACTATTGCTGAAGTGTTCCATTTGGCCTCCTTTCTCCTCTCTCCTCAGTCCATATACACTTTAAATCAATGCCTATTTTATGGTGCTCTGTCATTAATGAGTAAAGGACAGGAATTGAAAAATGTAGAGGTAAAAACAGAGATGATACTTGATATTGCTGTGTCCTCACCCAAATCTCATCTTGAATTATAGCTCCCATAAACCCCACATGTTGTGGGAGGGAACCAGTGGGAGATAATTGAATAATGGGGTGGGTTTTCCCATGCCGACCTCATGATAGTGATTAATTCTCATAAAATCTGATGGTTTTAAAGGGCAGTTCCCCTGCACACACTCTCTTGCCTGACACCATGTAAGATGTGTCTTTGCTTCTCCTTCAACTTCCTCCATGATTGTGAGGCCTCCCTAGCCATGTGGAACTGAGTCCATAAAACCTCATTTTCTTTATAAATTATCCAGTCTCAGGCATTTCTTCATGGCAGTATGAAAATGGACAAATACAGTACTCCTTACTGTCATTCCTAGTAACACACTTAGGAAATATGTGTTTATTGTCTCAACAACTTCAGGTTTTGAGTGTTTAGATGTCTTCGTTTCCTAAAAGAAGAATGCTTCCACAAGAAGACACAGTTAGTGTCCCACTAAACTTAAAATTACAGCTACAAACTAGATAATTTGGGCTCTGTGTGACAGTTGACCAGCCGGTAGAGAAAAAGATTACCTTGTTGGCAAGTATAATTGATCTTGATCATTATGAAGAAATAGGGCTCTTATGCTACATAATGGGGACAAGGAGGAATGTTCCTTGTCAATTTGGCATTTCAATTGTATACTAGGTGTTTTGTATTTTTTCCCACCCCCAGTTTTAAATGAAAATGGGTGAGTACAGAAAGCACATATTTCTACAGTGGTGTAAGATCACAGATCCTTTACAGATGAGAGTTTGAACCACACACCAGGCAAACCATCTAAACATACAGAAGCATTAGCCAAGTTGGAGGAGAGATTTTTGAAAAGAAAATGAAGGAGGGAGATAAGTGTCAGTTACAATCCCCCATAACACAAGTTTACCTATGTATCAATCCTATACGTGTATGTACCTCTGAAATTAAAATACAAGTTTAAAAAATCATTTTTAAGGATTTAAAAAAAGTGTCAATTATAGCCATGGTACCAACTATAGTTGGTTGACCTTTAACTTTTCAAGCCAAAAAGACTATCTTTATACATCAAATAGTGCTACCCTCTGGAGCAAAGGGCAAGCATGCTTACTATCCATTATACAATATATGTGTTCCCTAAGCTCAGTGATTCTCTCCTGAAAAGCATGACTTCTTTAGTAATTACCTTCATGACACTTAGGAGAAGCAGGGGCAAATGTTGAGAACATGGCTACTGCTATCATTATGAGTAATAAAACATCCTTTTTCTGTAACCCAGGAGTCTTGTGTTTTCTATCTGTTTCAATGAAACTGTGAGCTAATTTGTTAGATTGCAAGTTGAGTAAAATCTCGGATCTTTCATGGTTATTGACAATCCAAAATTTGTTTCTTTAGAACTTTAATATACTTAACAAACCCAGGCTAAAATAATTTTAAAAAGACCCAAAAACACAAATTATAAATATCAGTATGTAAATGGCAGATTCAACATACATTGAAAAAAAGAAATTAGGTGCCAAAACTTAAATGAAAATGAACCCATTCTTGAGAAGGGTGACTTATACAAGCTTACTTGAGAAGAAGTAATATATTCAGAAAATAAAGAAATTGAGTACATCATTTTAAAAGTCCCAGAAGGCTTCACCTGTAATTACTTCAAATGTTTAAGAATAAATAATACTCGAGGGAGGAGCCAAGATGGCCGAATAGGAACAGCTCCGGTCTACAGCTCCCAGCGTGAGCGACACAGAAGACGGGTGATTACTGCATTTCCATCTGAGGTACCAGGTTCATCTCACTAGGGAGTGCCAGACAGTGGGCGCAGGCCAGTGTGTGTGCGCACCGTGCGCGAGCCGAAGCAGGGCGAGGCATTGCCTCACCTGGGAAGTGCAAGGGGTCAGGGAGTTCCCTTTCCGAGTCAAAGAAAGGGGTGACGGACGCACCTGGAAAATCGGGTCACTCCCACCCGAATATTGCGCTTTTCAGACCGGCTTAAGAAACGGCGCACCACGAGACTATATCCCACACCTGGCTCAGAGGGTCCTACGCCCACGGAATCTCGCTGATTGCTAGCACAGCAGTCTGAGATCAAACTGCAAGGTGGCAACGAGGCTGGGGGAGGGGCGCCCGCCATTGCCCAGGCTTGCTTAGGTAAACAAAGCAGCCGGGAAGCTCGAACTGGGTGGAGCCCACCACAGCTCAAGGAGGCCTGCCTGCCTCTGTAGGCTCCACCTCTGGGGGCAGGGCACAGACAAACAAAAAGACAGCAGTAACCTCTGCAGACTTAAGTGTCCCTGTCTGACAGCTTTGAAGAGAGCAGTGGTTCTCCCAGCACACAGCTGGAGATCTGAGAACGGGCAGACTGCCTCCTCAAGTGGGTCCCTGACCCCTGACCCCCGAGCAGCCTAACTGGGAGGCACCCCCCAGCAGGGGCACCCTGACACCTCACATGGCAGGGTATTCCAACAGACCTGCAGCTGAGGGTCCTGTCTGTTAGAAGGAAAACTAACAACCAGAAAGGACATCTACACTGAAAACCCATCTGTACATCACCATCATCAAAGACCAAAAGTAGATAAACCCACAAAGATGGGGAAAAAACAGAACAGAAAAACTGGAAACTCTAAAACGCAGAGCGCCTCTCCTCCTCCAAAGGAACGCAGTTCCTCACCAGCAACAGAACAAAGCTGGATGGAGAATGATTTTGACGAGCTGAGAGAAGAAGGCTTCAGACGATCAAATTACTCTGAGCTACGGGAGGACATTCAAACCAAAGGCAAAGAAGTTGAAAACTTTGAAAAAAATTTAGAAGAATGTATAACTAGAATAACCAATACAGAGAAGTGCTTAAAGGAGCTGATGGAGCTGAAAACCAAGGCTCGAGAACTACGTGAAGAATGCAGAAGCCTCAGGAGCCGATGCGATCAACTGGAAGAAAGGGTATCAGCAATGGAAGATGAAATGAATGAAATGAAGCGAGAAGGGAAGTTTAGAGAAAAAAGAATAAAAAGAAATGAGCAAAGCCTCCAAGAAATATGGGACTATGTGAAAAGACCAAATCTACGTCTGATTGGTGTACCTGAAAGTGACTGGGAGAATGGAACCAAGTTGGAAAACACTCTGCAGGATATTATCCAGGAGAACTTCCCCAATCTAGCAAGGCAGGCCAACGTTCAGATTCAGGAAATACAGAGAACGCCACAAAGATACTCCTCGAGAAGAGCAACTCCAAGACACATAATTGTCAGATTCACCAAAGTTGAAATGAAGGAAAAAATGATAAGGGCAGCCAGAGAGAAAGGTCGGGTTACCCTCAAAGGGAAGCCCATCAGACTAACAGCGGATCTCTCGGCAGAAACCCTACAAGCCAGAAGAGAGTGGGGGCCAATATTCAACATTCTTAAAGAAAAGAATTTTCAACCCAGAATTTCATATCCAGCCAAACTAAGCATCATAAGTGAAGGAGAAATAAAATACTTTATAGACAAGCAAATGCTGAGAGATTTTGTCACCACCAGGCCTGCCCTAAAAGAGCTCCTGAAGGAAGCGCTAAACATGGAAAGGAACAACCGGTACCAGCCGCTGCAAAATCATGCCAAAATGTAAAGACCATCGAGACTAGAAAGAAACTGCATCAACTAATGAGCAAAATCACCAGCTAACATCATAATGACAGGATCAAATTCACACATAACAATATTAACTTTAAATATAAATGGACTAAATTCTGCAATTAAAAGACACAGACTGGCAAGTTGGATAAAGAGTCAAGACCCATCAGTGTGCTGTATTCAGGAAACCCATCTCACGTGCAGAGACACACATAGGCTCAAAATAAAAGGATGGAGGACGATCTACCAAGCCAATGGAAAACAAAAAAAGGCAGGGGTTGCAATCCTAGTCTCTGATAAAACAGACTTTAAACCAACAAAGATCAAAAGAGACAAAGAAGGCCATTACATAATGGTAAAGGGATCAATTCAACAAGAGGAGCTAACTATCCTAAATATTTATGCACCCAATACAGGAGCACCCAGATTCATAAAGCAAGTCCTCACTGACCTACAAAGAGACTTAGACTCCCACACATTAATAATGGGAGACTTTAACACCCCACTGTCAACATTAGACAGATCAACGAGACAGAAAGTCAACAAGGATACCCAGGAATTGAACTCAGCTCTGCACCAAGCAGACCTAATAGACATCTACAGAACTCTCCACCCCAAATCAACAGAATATACATTTTTTTCAGCACCACACCACACCTATTCCAAAATTGACCACATAGTTGGAAGTAAAGCTCTCCTCAGCAAATGTAAAAGAACAGAAATTATAACAAACTATCTCTCAGACCACAGTGCAATCAAACTAGAACTCAGGATTAAAAATCTCACTCAAAGCCGCTCAACTACATGGAAACTGAACAACCTGCTCCTGAATGACTACTGGGTACATAACGAAATGAAGGCAGAAATAAAGATGTTCTTTGAAACCAACGAGAACAAAGACACCACATACCAGAATCTCCGGGACGCATTCAAAGCAGTGTGTAGAGGGAAATTTATAGCACTAAATGCCTACAAGAGAAAGCAGGAAAGATCCAAAATTGACACCCTAACATCACAATTAAAAGAACTAGAAAAGCAAGAGCAAACACATTCAAAAGCTAGCAGAAGGCAAGAAACAACTAAAATCAGAGCAGAACTGAAGGAAATAGAGACACAAAAAACCCTTCAAAAAATCAATGAATCCAGGAGCTGGTTTTTTGAAAGGATCAACAAAATTGATAGACCGCTAGCAAGACTAATAAAGAAAAAAAGAGAGAAGAATCAAATAGACACAATAAAAAATGATAAAGGGGATATCACCACCGATCCCACAGAAATACAAACTACCATCAGAGAATACTACAAACACCTCTACGCAAATAAACTAGAAAATCTAGAAGAAATGGATACATTCCTCGACACATACACTCTCCCAAGACTAAACCAGGAAGAAGTTGAATCTCTGAATAGACCAATAACAGGCTCTGAAATTGTGGCAATAATCAATAGTTTACCAACCAAAAAGAGTCCAGGACCAGATGGATTCACAGCCGAATTCTACCAGAGGTACAAGGAGGAACTGGTACCATTCCTTCTGAAACTATTCCAATCAATAGAAAAAGAGGGAATCCTCCCTAACTCATTTTATGAGGCCAGCATCATTCTGATACCAAAGCCGGGCAGAGACACAACCAAAAAAGAGAAATTTAGACCAATATCCTTGATGAACATTGATGCAAAAATCCTCAATAAAATACTGGCAAACTGAATCCAGCAGCACATCAAAAAGCTTATCCACCATGATCAAGTGGGCTTCATCCCTGGGATGCAAGGCTGGTTCAATATACGCAAATCAATAAATGTAATCCAGCATATAAACAGAGCCAAAGACAAAAACCACATGATTATCTCAATAGATGCAGAAAAAGCCTTTGACAAAATTCAACAACCCTTCATGCTAAAAACTCTCAATAAATTAGGTATTGATGGGACGTATTTCAAAATAATAAGAGCTATCTATGACAAACCCACAGCCAATATCATACTGAATGGGCAAAAACTGGAAGCATTCCCTTTGAAAACTGGCACAAGACAGGGATGCCCTCTCTCACCGCTCCTATTCAACATAGTGTTGGAAGTTCTGGCCAGGGCAATCAGGCAGGAGAAGGAAATAAAGGGTATTCAATTAGGAAAAGAGGAAGTCAAATTGTCCCTGTTTGCAGACGACATGATTGTTTATCTAGAAAACCCCATCGTCTCAGCCCAAAATCTCCTTAAGCTGATAAGCAACTTCAGCAAAGTCTCAGGATACAAAATCAATGTACAAAAATCACAAGCATTCTTATACACCAACAACAGACAAACAGAGAGCCAAATCATGGGTGAACTCCCATTCACAATTGCTTCAAAGAGAATAAAATACCTAGGAATCCAACTTACAAGGGATGTGAAGGACCTCTTCAAGGAGAACTACAAACCACTGCTCAAGGAAATAAAAGAGGACACAAACAAATGGAAGAACATTCCATGCTCATGGGTAGGAAGAATCAATATCGTGAAAATGGCCATACTGCCCAAGGTAATTTACAGATTCAATGCCATCCCCATCAAGCTACCAATGACTTTCTTCACAGAATTGGAAAAAACTACTTTAAAGTTCATATGGAACCAAAAAAGAGCCCGCATTGCCAAGTCAATCCTAAGCCAAAAGAACAAAGCTGGAGGCATCACACTACCTGACTTCAAACTATACTACAAGGCTACAGTAACCAAAACAGCATGGTACTGGTACCAAAACAGAGATATAGATCAATGGAACAGAACAGAGCCCTCAGAAATAATGCCGCATATCTACAACTATCTGATCTTTGACAAACCTGACAAAAACAAGCAATGGGGAAAGGATTCCCTATTTAATAAATGGTGCTGGGAAAACTGGCTAGCCATATGTAGAAAGCTGAAACTGGATCCCTTCCTTACACCTTATACAAAAATCAATTCAAGATGGATTAAAGATTTAAACGTTAGACCTAAAACCATAAAAACCCTAGAAGAAAACCTAGGCATTACCATTCAGGACATAGGCATGGGCAAGGACTTCATGTCCAAAACACCAAAAGCAATGGCAACAAAAGCCAAAATTGACAAATGGGATCTAATTAAACTAAAGAGCTTCTGCACAGCAAAAGAAACTACCATCAGAGTGAACAGGCAACCTACAACATGGGAGAAAATTTTCGCAACCTACTCATCTGACAAACGGCTAATATCCAGAATCTACAATGATCTCAAACAAATTTACAAGAAAAAAACAAACAACCCCATCAAAAAGTGGGCGAAGGACATGAACAGACACTTCTCAAAAGAAGACATTTATGCAGCCAAAAAACACATGAAGAAATGCTCATCATCACTGGCCATCAGAGAAATGCAAATCAAAACCACAATGAGATATCATCTCACACCAGTTAGAATGGCAATCATTAAAAAGTCAGGAAACAACAGGTGCTGGAGAGGATGTGGAGAAATAGGAACACTTTGACACTGTTGGTGGGACTGTAAACTAGTTCAACCATTGTGGAAGTCAGTGTGGCGCTTCCTCAGGGATCTAGAACTAGAAATACCATTTGACCCAGCCATCCCATTACTGGGTATATACCCAAAGGACTATAAATCATGCTGCTATAAAGACACATGCACACGTATGTTTATTGCGGCACTATTCACAATAGCAAAGACTTGGAACCAACCCAAATGTCCAACAATGATAGACTGGATTAAGAAAATGTGGCACATATACACCATGGAATACTATGCAGCCATAAAAAATGATGAGTTCATATCCTTTGTAGGGACATGGATGAAACTGGAAACCATCATTCTCAGTAAACTATCGCAAGAACAAAAAACCAAACACCGCATATTCTCCCTCATAGGTGGGAATTGAACAATGAGATCACATGGACACAGGAAGGGGAATATCACACTCTGGGGACTGTGGTGGGGTCGGGGGAGGGGGGAGGGATAGCATTGGGAGATATACCTAATGCCAGATGACACATTAGTGGGTGCAGCACACCAGCATGGCACATGTATACATATGTAACTAACCTGCACAATGTGCACATGTACCCTAAAACTTAGAGTATAAAAAAAAAAAAAAAAAAAAAAAATGCTAAGAGAGTAGATTTTAAGTGTTCTCAGAACAAAAATGATAATTCTGTGAGGTATAATGCATATGTTAATTAGCCCAATTTAGCCATTCCACAACATACATGTATTTCAAAACATCATGTTGCACTTGATAAATATATGCAATTTTGTCAATTAAAAAATGATTTAAAAAATGTGAAAAAAAAAAAAGAATAAATAATACTCATCCAATACAAAGTCTTCCAGAGAAAATGTAAATAAATGCTTTCTATTTATTTTATGGGGACTGCATCACCCTCAAACTAAGATATTATAAAAGCATCATCAGATAAGAAAACTACAAGATGTCCTAGAGCTTCTCCCCAAATAAGACCTTGAAATGAGAAATTAGGAGTTTGTGGTTTCTGTGGTTGGTTATCCCAACAGGCACAAGTGAGGGAGATGAACAGGTCAGACGGGGAAGGAGGGAAGCAGTCCAACTAGCTGAAAAGATCATGGTCTATTAAACTTTACCACAGATCTCAGTGGAACAAGGCAACTGGCGGTCACTCTGGCAGCACTATTAGGATAATTTTATATATATATATATATACGTGTATATATATATATATACGTATATATATATATATACGTGTATATATATAATATAGGTGCCAATTTTTCAAGATGTCATAACCAATATTGTGCTTTATTAGCATTTGTCTGGTTATTACAATGTTTTCCCATTCAAGTCCTGGGCATGATTTTTAATACAATTTTTTTCTCTAGCCATAGGAGATGAAAGTCTCTTTCATTTTCCCATAGAATTCTTCTGGACTTCACGATGAACATTTAGTTGGTATTTAGAATTCGCTCGTCATTTTCTTCTATCATTGTATTGATAGCACTGAACAGAAAATATCCAAATCCACATTTGTTTCAATAATTAGTGCTATCATGTAACTCATACAGTGGCATAAGCCAGTGTTTCCCACCTGTATGCCATTCCAGTTCATCAGAGGTGTAATGATGGTCCATGCAAGGGACTATTACAAATAGGTATACCACCAGTTAATAGGTTCTTGTTGCAGCCTTGTCTGAGACCACATATACTTCAGAACCCCATCCTGAGAATATGCGTCCTAGAACACTAGAAGCAGGTTCTGAGCAAAAGGATCATGGGCAATAGTTTATTTGGAAAATGCAGGATGCACAAAAGGGGGAATGGGAAACTCAGACGGAGAAGCAAAGACAGCCAATAAGGGGTATATTATCAAACCAGCTCACACTCTGGGTAACTGATGTTTAATTCCATGGGGAAGTTCTTAGAGTAAAAACATGTGCCTCAGTTTTATCCCATCTAGGACATAGGCTAATACTTCCAGTACAATGATAGATATGATGGTAGCAGGCATACCATGTCTCTTTCCGAACCCAGAAGAAAATCTTTCAACATTTCACAACTATGTATGATTATTAGGTTTTTATAGATGTATTTTATCAGTGTCAGTTTTATTCTATTTCTAATTGGCTAAGAGTTTTGTTTTGTTTTTAAATGAATTCTAATCAGGAATTATTGTGAATGACATTTACAAACTGAATACAAAATTTCTAAAGAAAATATTATCAAACCAAATTTAGCAGTATATTTAAAACTTATGATAATCAAATAATAGTAGTCCAGAAATTTAAATTTAAAACCACAATCACTGGTCTGTAATATAAAAGAAAGGAATATAAAAGTAGACAGTTCTGCTATGTACATTTCTTATTTTCTAGTAACTACACATTCATATGTTTATAAATATATACTGTATATATTTACTAGTACATATTTTCAAAAACACTATATTCTACACTGTATATTTTAGACACTAGACACTATTCTTTTTTTTTTTTTGAGACAGAATTTCACTCTTGTTGCCCAGGTTGGAGTGCAATGGAGCGATCTCAGCTCACCGCAGCCTCCGCCTCCCGGGTTCAAGCGATTCTCCTGACTCAGCCGCCCGAGTAGCTGGGATTACAGGCATGTGCCGCCACACTTGGCTAATTTTGTATTTTTAGTAGAGACAGGGTTTCTCCATGTTGGTCAGGCTGGTCTTGAACTCCTGACCTCAGGAGAACCACCCACCTCGGCCTCCCAAAGTGCTGGATTACAGGCGTGAGCTGCCGTGCCCGGCCGACACTATTCTAAATGCTTTGCATATATATATATATGTTCAGTTATCTCTCAAAAGTAGCTATGAACCATTAGCATCAATTTATCTACAAATAAGGACTATAAGGCCCAGAGAGTTTATTCATACTAGTTAACAAATTAACATGATTTTAAATTCCCAAAATTTGACTCCAAGGATTTTTTTATTATGACTATACTATACTGCTTTAACTGAAAAATGCCAGAAAAACTTGCTGTGATTTGTTACATTAATAGCCTAAAGAGGATACTTCAATATCCAGAAATAATACTTTAATTTAAAAATCAATAATCAATTCTAAAAAACAATTCATGCAAGTCTGCTTTCTCTAACCTGAAAATGCTCTTTCAAAAAAACCCACATTAAACATCGTACCTAATCATGAAAGGGGAAGAGGGAAAGAGGTGCCTATTATAATTACTTCTATTTGACTTTTTACCAGGAATCCTAGCCCATTTACTAAGATGAGAAAATGGATATCAGTATGTGGATTTCAAAGGAAGCATAGTGATTATTTGAAGACAGGAAAGTTCCAAGAAAATATATAGACAAATTACTGAAATTATTTAAAACTCCATGAGCTATCTAGGTGTCTTAGTCTATCTGGATTGCTACAATAAGATACCATGAACTGGGTAGCTGACAAACAACAGAAATGTATCTCTTACAGTTCTAGATGTTGGGAAGTCCAAGACCAAGTAACTAGCAGAATCAGTATCTGGTGAAGGCACACTTTCTAATTCATAGATTGTTCCTTCTCATTGTGTCCTCACATGGTAGAATTGGGATATAATCTCCCTTGGGCCTACTTTGTAAGGGCACAAATCCCACTTATAAGAGCTCTGCCTTCATGATCTAATCACCTACTGAAGAGTCCCACCTACTAATACTACTACTTTGAGGGAGAGGATTTTAACATATGAAAGTTGGGGGAACATAAATATTTGATCCATAGCACTAGGTATACAGACGACAATCAACATTTTAAAAATTTGACCAAAATAAAAAATTAGAAAATAAATAAAAATAAAAGTAGAAGTATCTATTCATAATATGATAAAAATTATAAGGCACTTGGGAATAAATCTGATGAGATATTTAAGACCATTTTGAAAAATCAAAAACATTTTGTAAAAATACTATATAAATGTCTCATATGAGAAGACTCAAAAAGGATGCAGGACTTTTTGGTAAATATGATGGAATTAAACAGAATTACAGAGTAATAAGCAAACATATGATTTTTACATTATTTGAAATAGAGCTAAAAGTATTGAATTTTTGCCATATTCAGTATTGGAAACCATTATGCTTAGTTAAGAAAAAAGTAAATTTGCTAACATGTGGAAAAGCTCAGCAAAATTTAAGAAAGTGAGAAAAGAAATTTTACCATATAAGTTATCAAAATAAAATAGATTACTGAGGATGTTCCAAGACCAGCAGAATAGTTGATAATTATTTGGCATGTAGAACATGATTATTATTCTGTAAATTGGCTGAATCTATACTGCTAGGGTGGTATTAAGACTGGTAGAAAACATTACTCAATATGTCAACTCTAAATGGAAATACTGAATGGCCCTTTTACTTTACTTCTACTTCTGTTTTACCAGCTAACAGAAATTTCTGTTTTCTCCAAGGAGATCTTTTTAAATAAAATCTATGTTATATTGGGGAAAAATATTTTCTGCCCAGGAATCAAATCTGTCTTTTTAATTCACCTCACAAAACCCAAATACTGTTTCAGTGTTTAAGCTTGTACCCATGCATCCCTTGAACTTCCGAGGAAGCTTAGAAAATCCATCTTTTGGACTAATGTAAATTTATGCATAAATAGGCTGGGATTTTTCAGAGATGCTCACACTCAAGAGAAAGCAAATATGAAACATGACCTCCATTGTGTTCTGGACCTCGTGGTGTAAGATCTGAAGACAGCAAACAAAAAGAACATATGTAAGAGTATCACAGTAAAATGGAACCACTTAAATATGCTGATCCTGAGTCCTCTAATCCTATGGATTCCTACTTGCAAGCTAAAGAGTCTTTAGTCTTTAATCCAGAATGAGTCAATATTTTAATTTCTTCCAGCAAAAGTCATCTTAACTGATGTTTGTAGTTTGACTCAATGTTATCTTTCTAGAGATGAACAAGTTTTATCGATCATAATTAAAGTCAGGAGGAAAATAATAGAACATTTCACATTAGACATTAAGAATTATTTATCTAATATTTAATGTGGTGATTAACAAATTCACTGTTTCCAAAAATAAATCCTGAAATGGGGTCAAATTCCTACTGTTCTATGAATTCTTTTCTGATATTTTACTCATCCCAGACATAAGTATATTAAGTTGAACCACCTGATATTCCATTTTTGAAAAGCAAAATGATCAAATATTAATAATTTTATCTGCTTTTTTAATACTGGCAGAATGATAGAAACTAGGCAAAGTAAAGTGACTACAATATAATCTCTTTCTTCAAAGAGCTTCCAACTGATATCTGGTAGTTAGGGAATAAATAGTATTCAAGTGGCTGATACTTGCTAGAGAAAAAATATAAATAAAACCTGAAAACTGAAAAGGAGAGGATTGTGGGAAATGTGTAAATTTGCCATTCATTACCTAAAAATTATGAAGTAATTGTTTTGTCATTAAGAAGAGTGATAATCTATCTTTAGAATATTATTCACTACCTTATAATTAGAATCACATAAGTTCAGAAAAGTAAATTTTTGTCTTTCTTCGTAAATAATGTAGGACTTTTTCTTTTAATTTGGTACTTGAAAAAGATAAAACATGGTGTCAAAGAGATATATAGCAGTACCTCTTGGTTAAGAGGCATTGTAATAGTTTACTTTTATGTAGAACATATAGACTGTTTTTTCCAGATAGAAGTTAAGAAGATAATGTTTAGATGCAGACATTTTATAAGCAGGAGCATCTGGAAGTTCTGTAATGTGGTAGTTACATAAAGAAAATATATAACTCACAGTGCTGAGTATCAGTTTACATATAAGAGTTCAGCTACAACATTTGTTCACAACAGAGTACACATTATTCTTTTATTGAGGAAAGTGGAAATTAAACTGTGAAGAAATGTTCTGAACAAGTTCCAGATCTAGAAAGGAATTTAAGGTACAATTCAAACTAAGAAACATGCTGTTCATTTTGTTTTCACAAAATGTGATATACATTCATTTTGTTCCAGAATGAAAAAAAAAAAAAAAAAGAAAAAAAGGAGCCTCCTGTTAAAATCACAGCCACTGCAAATTCACCTTTAAATTTAGCAAGCCAGAACCATGTGGCATATTTGATTTGGATATCTCCGTCTTTAGGTATTTGTTTACTTAAGAACTTGAGTACTAAGCATATTGAGGAAAACATCAGCCATGCAGACTGAAAGTATATTTGTAGATGCAGCCCTTTAGAAAGAGCAAGAACTCCGGAAAGCTGCTCCTCCATAAAAGCAAAAGGAATATTGACAAAATCCTACAAATCAACTTTTTCTTAACTCTGGAAATCGATCAAAGTCATGGAACAATCTAAGTAAACATTACTCAAGAAAGAAATAATGAATCTCAGTAAGAAGAGTGAGGTTTGATGGGTTATATACAAAAGGCCCTATGCCCATCCCTTGGTCCCAGCTGCACAGAAGCCTTGAAAATTAACAGAATGGCTAGTAGAAGCTGTGAAATCCAGCAGCCTAGTCACCACTAGGGGTGAGGAGGAATGAGTTTGGAACTCTCTATAAATCTAAACATCAGAGAATTGTCACTATATACCTGTTTGTACTATTCCCCAAAAGCTCAATTCTTAGGATTTGTCTTTAGTTTACTTAATTCAGATCTTGTTCTGGGCAAAAGGCCCTTGCCGTGGGACTTTGTCTGAAACAATCCCTGACAGTTTAAATCTCACCTGCCTGAGATGACAATAACTGGGAGTAAGAAGAAGCGATACGGTTTGGCTGTGTCCCCACCCAAATCTCATCTTGAATTGTAGCTCTCATGATTCTCACATGTCATGGGAAGGACCCAGTGAGAGGTAATTGAATTATGAGTCGGGTCTTTCCCAAGCTGTTCTCTTGATAGTGAATAAGTCTCATGAAATCTGATGGTTTTATAAAGGGGAGTTCACCTGCACAAGCTCTCTTGCCAGCTGCCATGT
The DNA here is from genome assembly GCF_000001405.40 of Homo sapiens. Classification (NCBI taxonomy): domain Eukaryota; kingdom Metazoa; phylum Chordata; class Mammalia; order Primates; family Hominidae; genus Homo; species Homo sapiens. The sequence goes on from NC_000004.12 coordinate 91,990,575, forward strand.
AAGATGTCCCTTTGCTCTTCCTTAGTCTTCTACCAAGATTGTGAGGCCCCCAGGCATGTGTATCTGTAAGTCCATTAAACCTCTTTCCTTTATAAATTACCTAGTCTCAGGTATATCTTTATTAGCAGCATGAGAACAGACTAATAGAGAGGCTAACAAAAAAACGTAAAAGTAAGGGAGTTAATACAGGCCTTTGAAAGCTCTAACATATTCCTGGAAATCAAGAAGAAAATACTCACATGCAGGACTGTGTACATGCCAAGGAAAGATGAAAAAAGGTTTAAACTCTCGGCTCAAACATTGAGAACCTGACAAGAAGGAAGTGAAAGCAAAGGCAGATTTTTAAACTACCTGTCAGGGCATTGAAAGCAAAACCCAATACAAGCACAGAGCCCTTCCACTAAAGCTGAGACTGGGTGACTTATTGGTTCAAGGTACTTAAGAAAACCTCTTTTCAAATATTAGCTGACAATGAAACTAACAAAGCAGAGACTTCAGTGTCTCCACAAGACAAAGAATATAAACTTTATAGAATTAGTACAGAAAAATCACAAAGTAAAAAATAGAAACAACAACAAAAACAATACAACAGTCAGCAATCACATGAAACCCCAGGGAAGGGGAATATCTGATTTTCACATGAAACCCCAGGGAAGGGGATCTGCACAGTTGCCTTATATTATATACAATGTCTACTTTTTAAGAAAACATTATAACATATCCACAACAAAACAACAACAACAAAAAAGTGACTGGCTCATGCATGAGGGAAAAAGGAGTCAATAGAAGCTCTCCCTAAGAAAGCTCAGACATTAGACTTAGTAGTCAGAGTTTAATTTCGTTCTATAAATATGTTCAAACAGCTAAAAGAAACCATGCCTAAAGAATGAAAGAACAAATGAATGAAACATATCTCACAAAATAGGGAACAGTAATTAATAGAAATGAATTCTTAAAAGACAACATAAAATAATTCTATAATTAAAACTTACTATGACTGAAATTTCAAACATTCACTAGAGAGGATAAACAGCAGACTTGAACTTATTTTTTTCTTAAAAAAAAGAATCATTGAACTTGAAGGCTGGTCCGTTGAAATTATCCAGTCTGAGGAGCAGGGGAAGAAAAAGAATAAAGAAAAATGAACAGAACATCAGAATCCTATGATATACCATCAAGCATATTAACATGTACATAATTGAAGTCTCAAGAGGTGAGTGAGAAAGGGACAGAAAGAATATTTTTAAAAATATTTTTATTTTTAAAAATCTTTTCATATTTAATGAAGATATGAATCTGTTCATCTGAGAAGTCAATTAATTCCAGAACAATAAACCTGAGCGATCCACACCCAGACACATCATAGTGAAACTGATAAAAGACAAAGATTTTGAAATGAACAAGAGTTTAGCAACTCATCACATATGAGGAATACTCAAAAAGATTAAAAGTTGATTCTTTATCAGACAAAGGAGAACAAATGTCTGTGGGACAATATATTCAAAGTAGTAGGGGGAAAAAACAATTTCAACAAAGAAGTCTGTAGTCAGAAAAACTATTCTTTTAATTTTAATGAGACATTAAGACTAACTAAATAAACAAAAAATAGACTTTATCACTAGGAAACTTGTCCTATAAGAAACACTAAAGTGAATTCCTTAGCAAAAGCTATCAAAGAGCAATTCAAATCCACAGGAAGAAATAAAGAACACTGTTGTGCAGATAAATATGAAATACTTTATAAATTTATTTTTCTTTGTAATAATTTGTTTCTGAACAAATAAATTAAAACTGTGTTGATGGGTTTATAATATATAAAGATGTTCATTTGTAAGAAAACAGGACAAAGAAGTGGGGAATGGAGCTATATTATGACAAAGTTTTTTATACTATATAAATTGCTGGCCTTCATGGAAACCACATTGTTTTAGCTAAGATGTCATCTGTAATCCTCAGGGAATCTTCCAAGAAAATAACTTTCAGCACATGGTAAAGAAAACAAAAGGGAAGTAAAGTAACACTATAGAAAATATGTATTTTGCACAAAAGAAGCAGTAAAAAAAGAAATAACTGAACAAAAATATCAAATTTAAGTTTTATACTTTATAACTACTTAAATTTAACTTAAACAGATTAAACACTCAAAAAAAAAAAACCTCACACGGCAGACTGGCAGAAGTGATTAGAAAACATGATCCAACTCTATATTGTCAGTAAGTGATGTACTTTAGAGTCAAAGACATACATAGATTGAAAGTAAAAGGAAGGAAATAAATACATAATACAAAGATATGCAGCTGCTATATTATTATCAAACAAAATAGACTTTAAAACAAAAAGTATAACTGGAGACAAAGAAGAGCATTTTGTGATAATGAAAGTGTTCAACCATCAAAAACATGTAACAACTATAAACATGTATGCACCTAAAACACCGCTCTAAAATACATCAAGCAAAGGCTGATGTAACTGAAGGGAAAATAACAAGTCAACAATAATAACTGGAGACTTAATATCCTATTTTAAATAATAGAACAACTAGACAGAAGATGAACACAAAAATAAAAGACAACATGAAAAAATCAAGTAATCTTAGACAACTAGGGAACAATCTATACAACAAAAGCTGAACATACGTTATCCTGAAGTGTGCATGAAACATTTATCAGGATAGACCAAATCATATGTTAGACCATAAAATAAGTGTCAATAAATTTTAAAAGATTTAGATGACCCAAATTACAATTTCCAAACACAATAGAATCAAATTAGTAGTCTATACTAGAAAGAAATTTGGGCATTTTATAAATAGGTGAAAATTAAGCAATATATTCTTAAATAACCAGTAGGTCAAAATATATGTAGAAAAAGGGGCCAGGTGCGGTGGCTCATGCCTGTAATCCCAGCACTTTGGGAGGCTGAGGCGGGTGGATCACAAGGTCAGGAGATCGAGACCATCCTGGCTAACACGGTGAAACCCCGTCTCTACTAAAAATGTAAAAAACAATTAGCCGGGCGTGGTGGCAGGTGCCTGTAGTCCCAGCTATTCAGGAGGCTGAGGCAGGAGGATGGCATGAACCCGGGAGGCAGAGCTTCCAGTGAGCCGAGATCACGCCACTGCACTCCAGCCTGGGCGACAGAGCAAGAAGACTCCGTCTCAAAAGAAAAAAAAGAAAAAGCATTTGACAAAATCCAATATCCTTCTAATTTTAAACTATCTAACAAGTAGGAACAGAAGGGAATTTCTTAAATCTGATAAAGAGTAGCAAAAAAAAATCCGTAGTTAATATTATACTTAATGGTGAAAGACTGAAAGCTTTTACCTAAAATCAGGACCAATACAAGAAGGATGTTATTCTCACCACTTTTATTTAATACTAAAATAGGGGTCCTAGCCTGAGAACTCAGGCAAATAAAAGAAAGTATTTGCAGATGGCCTAGGCTTACATATAAAGAATTTTAAAGAATCAATTTATAAAACTATAGAGCTAATAAATGAGTCTAGCAAAGTTGCTATATATAAGACTAGTCAACAAAAATCAATTTATTTTTATAGACAAGCAATGAACAATCTGAAAATGAAACTAATAAAACTATTTATGATAGTAACAATAAGAATAAAACAGGAATAAATATTACAAAGGAAGTGGAAGATTTATACACTTAAAATTATAAAACATGGCAAAAGAAATTCAAGAAATACTAAATAAACATCAAAAATCCCATATTTGTAGAAAGGAGTTTATTATATTGAGACAAAATTCCTCAAATTAATCTGCAGATTTAGCATAATCCCAATCAAAATACCAGATATCTTTCTTGCACAAACTAAGAAGCTGATCTGGGCCAGGTGCAGTGGTTCACGCCCATAATTCCAGCACTTTTGGAGGCCAAGGTTGGTGGATCACTTGATGTCAGGAATTCAAGACCAGCCTGGCCAACATGGTGAAACTTTGTCTCTACTAAAAATACAAAAATTAGCCAGATGTGGAGGTGGGTGCCTATAATCCTAGCTACTCAAGAGACTGAGGCAGGAGAATCACTTGAACCTAGGCAGCAGAAGTTGCAGTGAGCCAAGATGGCACCACAGCACTCCTGCCTGGGCAGCAGAGTCAGAATCTGTCTCAAAAAACAAAAACAAAAAGGTGATCTTAAAATTCATATAAAAATGCAAATGACACAGAACACCCATGTGTTAGTTCATTTTCACACTGCTGATAAAGATGTACCCAAGGCTGGGCAATTTACAAAAGAAAGAGGTTTCATGGACTCACAGCTCCACGTGGCTGGGGTAGCCTCACAATCATGGGGGAAGGTGAAAGGCTAGTCTCATATGGCGGCAGAAAAGAGAAGAGAACTTATGCAGGGAAACTCCCCTTTATAAAGCCATCATATCTTGTGAGACTTATTCACTATCACAAGAACAGCATGGGAAAGATCCACCCCCATGATTCAATTACGTCCCACCAAGTCCCCCTCATGACATGTAGGAATTGTAGGAACTACAATTCAAGATGACATTTGGGTTGGGGACCCAGCCAAACCATATCAACCCAGAACCAATTTGGAAAAAGAAAAACAAAATTTGAAGGCTCACATTTCTTGATTTCAAAACTTACTGTGAATCTACATTGATCCAGAAATGTGGTACTGGCAAAATGACAGACAAGTAGATAAATGGAATGGAATTGAGTGTCCAGAAATAAACTCCTCTATTATTTTCAATTGATTTTAGCATTACGAAGACAATTCAATGGGGAACTTAATAGCCATTTCAGCAAATCATGCTGGGACAGCTAGACACATACCTCACACCATGTACTAAAATTAACTTTAAATGGATAATAGACCTACATATTAGAACTAAAAAGATGGAAGTCTTAGAAAAAAATAGGAATAAATGTTTATGAACTTGAGCTGGCAATAGTTTCTTAGATCTTACACTAAAACACAATTGAGAAAAGAAACAGTTAAAATAAATTTCATTAAAATAAGAAAATACATTTGTGATTCAAAGAACATCAAGAAAATGAAAAGACAACTCAGTGTGAGAGAAAATGTTTGTAATAATATGTAAGTGTAGCGAATGCAGAATATGTAAAGAACTGTTACAGCACAAAAAGAAAATGACAATCCAATTAAAAACAGGCAAGGATTTGAATGGACATTTCTTCAAATATACAAATGACTAATATGTATATGAAAAATTCTCAACATAATTAGTCATTAGGGAAATGCTAATCAAAACCACAATATGATACCACTTTACACCTATGAGAATGGCTAAAATAAAAGAGACAGACAACAATTGTTGACAAGGATGTGGAAAAACTGGAACATTCAAAAATTTCTGGTGGGAATACGAAAATGTAAAGCTACTTTTGAAGACAATTTGAAAGTTCCTCAAAAAGTTAAACATAGAGTAACCATATGCCTTAGCAATTCCATTCCTAAGTAAAAACTCAAGAAAGCTGAAAACATATGTCTGCACAAAAATGTCTACACAAATGTCCACAGCACTATTGTTCCTAATAGCTTAAAAGTGGAAGCCATTCAAGTATTCATTAATAAATGAATGTATTAACAAAAGTAATGCATTCACACAATAGAATATTATTTGGCCATAAAAAGGAACAATGTACTAATACATGCTACAACATGGATGAACTTCAAAAATATTGTGTTAAGGGAAAGAAATCAGTCACAAAATACGGCCTGTTGTATGATCTCATTTATATGGAGTGTTCAGAATAGTCCAAACCATGTAGACAGGAAGTAGATTCATGTTTACCAGGGGCTGGGGAAAAGAAGAAATAGGGTGTGAGATTTCTTTTTTTTTTTTTTTTGAGGGAATGAAAATGTTCAAAAATCAGATAGTGGTGATGATTGTACAACTCTGTGAATATTGTATAAACCACTGAATTGTACACATTAAAATGGTGAATTTTATGTCATGTGTATTATAGCTTAATAAATCTTTTATTACAAAAGAAAATACATTTTGGAATAAGAAGTCTATAAGAATATTTTTATATTTTAAAATATTGATTGCAGTGAGCTGAGATTGTGCCACTGCACTCCAGCCTGGGCAACAGAGTGAAACTTTGTCTCAAAAACAAAAAAAAAATGGAAATTTGTGGTGAAGTGTAGAGTTAGTGTTCACTGGAAAATAAATTGACTCTAGACTTCAAGATAGAGATGCAGAAAAATGTACATCAAGATGTCTTTTAGAGTATCTGAGGATATAATTGAGGAAAGACAGGTACTGTTTTATTCAAGAAAATCATAAAAGTATCTCCCAAAGTTATTCATCTCGGTTCTGCTCCCACACTGTTGCTCCCAGGAATGTTACCTGTTTTCTACCTCCTGGCTACTGTTATGGCCAAGCCAGCAACCATGAAGAAAGTGAAAAGAATGCAGGACCACATGATGACTGTTGTGGGTAACTTCCCCCATAAAAAGTTAGAATTTTTATTTTATAACAGCATTTATATAATGAAAAATGTATTACTATTATATATTTAAACACTTTCACTGACATAAAAGTTTATTTTTTTCTTCTGATTTAAAAAAAATGAAAAAGTTTCTTGGGACCCTAAAAGTAGGATGGGCCTAGGCACTGTGCCCAACGGATAAGTCAGTCTTAAAGATGAGATCAGCACTCATAGTTGGAAACTTAGCACAAGTCTAGGCTTGCCCAGAATTGCATGAAGAAGGCGTAAGATGGGGGGCATCAGAGGCATCTACTCTAGTCAGTCACATGAATAAATATTTTTACTTAGGCCTAATATTATATCTTCTTAATCTTCTTATAACACCTTCCATAAACACACTTTATAAAATACTTCACCACTACTCTAAATTGCCAGCTCTATTTTTATAACTAGGATGATATGTAATGCTATACGGTTACATTATAAGACAAAATGATGCCTGATATTATTTTTTGACAACACGTTTTATCTACTCATCCTTGAAAATTGCATAGAAAGTAATTTTTTTATCCAGTAACATGAATCAATGAAATAAAAGAGGGCACTGTAATAATACTGATGTCAAAAGATAACACCTATCTTATAGGCTTTTTTCTTGTTATATTAAGGGAGAAGTACAACGTACACAGTGGTCATGGTTTGACCCAAGATATAATCGAATCTGTGAAATAGCGAAGTGCTTTGTAATAGAGTTTTACTGTAATTGCTTTGTCAGGTTATCAGTCTTGTAGTTCTTCCCTAAATAGAAAAAGTTTGTCCTGTTGCTTGAAGGTATAGTGAATTTTGGAAGAATGAGTATATGTCAGCTAAGGTGGCATTGACCCAAAAAAGGCTTGAACACTGAGCAGACCAAGGAATAATACTTCTGATTACAGACTAGTGCAGACAGAATAAGAAATAATCAGGTGAATGTGTTGATAGGGTGGGGATGAGGGTTAAAAGGACAAAAATAAATTCATAAAAAGTTCATCCTGTACTGGAAGTTTTAGACTGAAGGAAAATGAGCTAAAAATGCTTTGGTTAAATTTTCCACCAGTTGCTATAAAGTCATTAGAAGCCTCTGTGAGTAAAGGAGGTAACTCCCAGAAAGTATTTATAGATTTAGAAAGAGAATAAGGTTAAGTTTCCTTGGAGACATAGTTCTTTCAAGCCAGATCTAACCTGATCTGAAGTAACTCTAATATTAAGAGAATTTAACTGAATATTGTCTGCTTCTTTCTCCTAAATCAACAAAAATATTAGATTGTGTCATGTATCTTATGATGTTAATTATACAATGAATATAATTTACATTATTAGCAAGATAAGTAATTAAAATGTAATTCAATCTACCTTAGAAATAAAAGATAGTTTTTTAAAACTTGTTGTCATTCCCATTTAAACTCATTAAAATACCCGTAGAAAAGATCCTTAATTGCTGCTTTACTATAGAAACATGAAAAGAATCACAACTTTTAAGAAGAAACTATAAAATTACTCTTATAAAATTATCATTTTGCTCTTTATGCCAAAATCTTTATTTAACTGTCTTTCACATTTTTGTAATGTGTTTTTAAATTATCTACTATTAGGTCTAAAGCCATTGTAGTAATTTTATTAATTTGATAAGTATCACTGAAAATTCAAGTGTATACTTATGTATAAGTACATATATGATTAGACTTTTGATTCCAGACTTCATTCCACATTTAGTTTTTCATTCAGAACCTGTAAGAATTTGATTCTTGTAGGGCAGTGGCTCTTAAAATTTAGTATGAGTAAAGATTACTTCAGGGTTTAGCAGTATAGCTCCTAACTGGAGATTCTTTGGTACTAGTGGGGATACACTATGAATATGCATTCTAAAAATCACCCCAGTCTCTTAATCCGGGAGAAGGAAGAACAGTACTATTATATTGTTATACTTATATATATTATATATATATATAATATATATATTATATATATAATATATATATTATATATATAATATATATAATATATATATTATATATATAATATATATATTATATATATAATATATATATTATATATATAATATATATATTATATATATAAAATACTGTATTATATATACTGTTATATACTGTTATATATAACATATATATAACATATATAAAACATTATATTATATACTGTTATATATAACATATATATAAAACATTATATTACATACTATATATACTATGTAGTATATATTATATACTATAGTATATAATATATATTATATACTATAGTATATAATATATATTATATACTATAGTATATAATATATATTATATATAATATATTATATACTATTATATACTATAGTATATAATATATTATATAATATATTATATATACTGCATATATACAGTATTATATATACTGTATATACAGTATATACACAGTGTATATACTGTATATATATACAGTATTATATATACATATATAGTGTTTTTTATATATACTGTTATACTATTATACATATATATATGCTGTTACACTATTATATGGTTTAGACAATTAGGTAATATCTATTAATACTCAGCAATGTATTCAACTCTAATTTGTCTCCTGTATCTCTGGGGCTGGAGTTCTAGAAATCACATTCTTCAGACTCACTTCCTAGCTGAGTTCTAATTTAGAGTCTGCCAAAGAGAGACACTGTCATAAGATTTTGGAGACAGAAGAGGACCAGAATTTATTTTTGTTCCACTAACAGTTGGCAGGCACATTGACTTCAGCTAAAAGTAAGGTTATGCTCTCTTCCAGATATTCTCCTATAAATGAATTAATTAGGTGCTGCAGGTAGCTGAAATTATAAGTGCTGATTTCCTGTAAGTTATGAAACTTGAAAATTTCCTGATACCATCACACATCTTCTCTGATATGTATTCTATCCTTCCTCCAAGGGTATTAACTCCTTTCTGCCTGAAATATATTCTTAGCAAGACTTTGAGATACATAGCATGTGAATAAAATAGAGGTTAACCATATGCCTAAATCCTGGTGACTCTTATACTCTACCTGCATGTATGCAAGACCTCATCCTCATTTCAAGCCCCCCACTTTATTTATTGGCTTCTCTGTGGGAATTAATATACTGTATTCCAAGAGTACCTATCTACCCAGCTTCTGCTGCTTAGAACCTTCATTCTCAGGCACAGAAACTATTCTTGTAACTGTATCAGTTACACTCCAAAGCCAGGGCAGGGGTGAGAGGCTATATAACTGGCTTTCTGAGTTAGAACACAGAGGACATACATCCTTAGTTAAAATGTTATAAATGATGGTGAAATAAAATTCAGCCAGTACTATAGCTACTTTTGTCACACTATAGATAATACAGAGGCATCTGAGTCTTATAGGAAAACATATATATCATTTTTGTGCAGTCAATTTGGGAGGCCAGTAGTTTATAAAAGAATAGTTCTCTAATATTAGTACTAGAAATAAGCACTCCAAATTTGTGTTAGCAGTAAAAATCATGCCTTGTGCCCTCCTGTTGAAGACTGTTAGGTTGGATTCAGGAATATGCATTTCTTATAAACATCATAAAATTTCTGATGAATATCTTTCCAGAGAGATACTTTCAGAGAAATTACCTTAAACCATTTATGGAATAAACTAATTTTTATTTCAAAAGTCTAATTTTTTCTTAACTAAAGAAAGAGCTTTGGGAAGAACAGATTGATAGAAAACATCCATTTTTCCCTATAGAGAATCAAAATTTAATCTAATGAGCAGAAATATGGAAGATTATAACCCAAATAAGTTATCTTAAAAAGGTTAAATTTGGCTAGATATGGTGGCTCATGCCTATAATCCAAGCACTTTGGGAGGCTGAGTTGGGCAGATCGCTTGAGCCTAGGAGTTCGGGACCAGCCTGGGCAACATGGCAAAATCCCATCTCTATAGAAAATACAAAAATTAGCTGGCCATGGTGGCATACACCTGTGGTCCCAGCTACTCAGAGGCCTGAGGCTGGAAGATGATTTGAGCCCAGGAGGTCAAGGCTGCAATGAGCACTGATTATACCACTGTACTCCAGCCTGAGTGACAGAGTGAGAACTTGTCTCAAAAAAATAAAAAAGTAAAAAGGTTGTGTATCATGATGATAATGGCTTCCAATGAATTACATTCCTTATATCCAAATTCCTTTGCAATGTGATGTCTCTACTCTTCTCATCAACAGTGGAGTATATTTCTTCATTGTCTTCAATATGAGCTTCTTCTGTCAGTCTCTTTGACCAATAGAATGCTGCCATTTTAGAGGTGAGGAAGCAAAAGAGGTAAAGTAGCTTACCCAAAATTACACAGCCAATAAGTGGTAGGGCTATCATTAAATATTAGGCAGTCAAATTTCAAAATTTATGCACTTAATAAGTATGTTGTATTGACTTTCATAAATTGAATCCTCATACAAAGCAACCAAGGGGAAGAGGCCAAAATGACTGACTAGAAGCAGCTGCCCACTGGGGGCTCCCACAGAGAAGAACAAAATGGTGAGTGAATCCTACACCTTCCACTGAGGTATCCAGGTTCTCTCATTGGGACAGACTAGGCAGCTGGTGAGACCCACAGAGAGCAAGAAGAAGCAGGGTGGAGTGACGGCCCACCCAGGAGGTGCATAAGGCAAGGGAAGCTCCTACCCCCAGCCAAGGGAGGTGGTGAGTGATTGTGCCACCTGCCCAGAAAACCATGCTTTCTCCATATATCTTTGCAACCCTCAGATCAGGAGATCCCCTTGTGAGCCCACGCCACCGAGGCCTTGAGTCCCAAGCACAGAGCTGTGCAGAAGCTCAGTGGCCACTCATGTTGCAGCCAGCAGCAACAGGCTGAAAACTACCTAAGACTACTACCAAATTTACTGGGGGAGGGGGCCACCATCACTGCAGCTCCAGTCTGCCATTTTTCCCTGATAGTGTTGGGGAGACTGAGTGGTTTGGACTGGGAGGAATTTCCCACAGTGCAGCACAGCAGCTGTGGTAGGTCATGGCCAAAATTCTTCTTTAAATGAGACCCAGATTCATTCCCTCTCACTGGGTAGGGACATTTCTATGAGAATTTCAGCAACTCCAGCCAGGGATTTATGGACAGAACTCCAATCTCCCTGGAACAAGGCCCTGGGTGAGAGGTGGCCATGGTCTCCAGTTCAGCAGACTTAGTCCTTCCTGCCCTGCTGGCTCTAAAGAGGCTGGGCAGTCCAGAAAAGGGGGATTTTCCCCAGCGCAGTGCACCCACTCCACCAAGGAGAAGACAGAATGCTTTGTTAAGTGGGTCCCTGACTGTATGATTCCTGACTAGGTGAGACTCCCTTAACAACAGGGGTTGCCAGACACCTTATACAAGGGCATTCCCATGGCCATCAGGTCAGTGCCCCTCCGGGACAGAGCTCCCAGAGGAAGGAGCAGGCAACCATCTTTGATGTTCTGCAGCATCCAATGGTGAAACCTCAAGGTGCATGAGGGACCCAGGGGAATAGGAGAATAGGGTCTGGAGTGGACCCCCAGCAAAATGCAGCAGTCCCACGGAAGAGGGGCCTGACTGCTAAAAGAAAATCCAACAGAAAGCAACAACAACATCAACAAAAGAGACTTCACAAAAACCTCATTCAAAGGACAGCAGCCTCAAAGATTGAAGGTACATAAGCTCATGAAGATGAAAAAAAGATCAATGCAAAAACATTGAAAATTCAAAAATCTAGAGTGCCTCTTCTCCTCCAAATGATTGCAACACCTCTCCAGCAAGGGCACAGAACTGGGCTGAGGCTGAGATGAATGAACTGACAGAAGTAGGCTTCAGAAGGTAAGCAGTAATAAACTTTGCTGAGTTAAAGGAGTATGTTCTAACACAATGCAAAGAAGATAAGAACAATAATAAAACATTACAGGAGCTGTTAATCACAATAACCAGTTTAGAGAGGAACATAAATGACCTGATAGAGCTGAAGAATACAAGACGAGAATTTCACAATGTAATCACAAGTATCAACAGCTGAATAGATCAAGTGGAGGAAATAATTTCAGAGCTGGAAGACTATCTTACTGAAATAAGACAGGATGCCAAGATTAGAGAAAAAAGAATGAAAATAAATGAACAAATCTTCTAAGAACTATGGGATTAAAAAGACCAGGGAAAATGGTCTCTTTCCAAGATGGAAAACATACTTGGGATATTGTCCAAGAGAACTTCCCCAATCTAGCAAGATAGGCCAATATTCAAATTTAAGAAATCCAGAGGACCCCAGTAAAATATTTCATGAGAAGATCAACCCCAAGATACATAATCATCAGATTCTCCAAGGTCAAAATAAAGGAAAAAAAATGTTATGGGTAGCCAGAGAGAGAAAGAGAGGCCAGGTCGCCTACAAAGGGAAGCCCATCAGTCTAACAGTGGACTGCTTAGCAGAAACCCTACAAACCAGAAGAGATAGGGGGCCAATAGTCAACATTCTAAAAGAAAAGAATTTCCACCCCAGAATTTCATATCTGGCCAAACTAAGCTTCATAAGCAAAGGAGAAATAAAATCTTTTTCAGACAAGCGAATGCTGAGGGAATTCATTACCACCAGGCCTGCCTTGCAAGAGCCTTTATGGAAGCAGTGAATATGGAAAGAAAAAACCATTACCAGCCACTAAAATAACACGCTAAAGTACAGAGACCAATGGCATTATGAAGCAACTACATTCACAAGTCTGCAAAATAACCAGCTAGCATCATGATGACAGGATCAATTCACACGTAACAATATTAACCTTAAATGTAAGAGACTAAATGCCCTAATCAAAAGACACAGAATGGCAAGCTGGATAGAGTCAAGACCCATTGGTATGCTGTATTCAAGAGACCCATCTTATGTGCAAAGACACACATGGACTCAAAATAAAGGGATGGAGGAAAATCTACCAAGCAAATGGAAAGCAGAAAAAGGGAGGGGTTGCAATCCTAGCTTCTGACAAAACAGACTTGAAACCAACAAAGATCAAAAAAGACAAAGAAGGACATTACTTCATGGAAAAGGGTTCAATTCAACAAGAAGAACTAACTATCCTAAATATAATGCACCAACACAGAAGCACCAAGATTCGTAAAACAAGTTATTAGAGACCTACAAACAGACAGATTCCCACACAATAACAGTGGGAGACTTTAACATCCCACTGTGAATATTAGACAGATCATTGAGACAGAAAGTTAACAAATATATTCAAGACTTGAACTCAGCTCCGGATCAAGTGAAACTGATAGATATCTACAGAACGATCTACCCAAAAACAATAGAATATACATTCTTCTCAGTGCCACATGGCACTTACTCTAAAATTGATCACACAATTGGAAGTAAAACACTCTTCAGCAAATGAAAAAGAACTGAAGTCTTAACAAACAGTATCTCAGACCACAGCACAATCAAATTCAAACTCAAGATTAAGAAACTCACTCAAAACCACACAACTACAGGGAAATTTAACAACCTCCTGAATGACTCCTGGGTAAATAATGAGATTAAGGCAAGAATCAAGAAGTTCTTTGAAACTAATGAGACCAAAGAGAAAACATCCAGAATCTCTAGGATGCAGCTGAAGTAGTGTTATGGGGGAAATTTATAGCACTAAATGCTCACATTAAAAAGCTAGAAAGATCTCAAATTGACATCCTAACATCCCAACTGAAAGAAATGAAGAACCAAGAGCAAACAAACCCCAAAGCCAGCAGAAGATAAGAAATAACCAAGATCAGAGTGGAACTGAAGGAGATAGAGACATGAAAAACCCTTCAAAAAATCAATGAGTCCAGGAGCTTGTTTTTTTTTTTTTGAAAAAAGATTCATATAATAGATAAACTGCTAGCTAGACTAATATAGAAGAAAAGGGAGAAGATTCAAATAAACACAAACAGAAATGATAAGGTAGCTATCACCACTGACCCCAGAAATACAAACAACCATCAGAGAATAGTATAAACACCTATATGCAAATAAACTAGAACATCCAGAAGAAATGGATAAATTCCGAAACACATAGACCCTCCCTAAACTGAACAAAGAGGAAGCTGAATCCCTGAGTACACTAGTAATGAGTACTGAAATTGAGGCAGTAATAAATAGCATACCAACAAAAAAAGCCCCAGACCAGAAGGATTTGCAGGTGAATTCTACCAGAGGTACAAAGAGAAGCTGGTACAATTTCTTCTGAAACTTTTTCAAACAACTGAAAAAGAGGGACTCCTCCCTAACTCATTTTATGAGGCCAGCATCATCTTGATACCAAAACCTGACAGGGATACGACAACAATATTAATAAAAAAAACTTCAGGCCAATATCACTGATGAACATTGAAAGCAACCAAAACTAGGTGATAAAAGTTTTCAGTAAGAAAGGTTAAAGGAAAAACAACATGCCATTTTTTCAGGTCTATTTCAAAGGTGTTAAAATGTTATTACCACCGTCTCAGAAGAAGATTTTCAAGGACTTTTGTCATTGGTTTTCTGTTATTCTCTCTACTGTTAAGACATTGTCAATTGTATAAATGGAATCAAACACTGGTAATCAAGTTGATGAAAATGAAGTATCAGCATAAGACAACCAAATGTCTAGGACAGGATTAGATGTCATCTAAATATCGCTGAGAAACAACTCAGGGGAAATTTAATAGGTAAAATGTATCAAAAGATAACAAAGATAGGATAATGTAATAATGACAAAATCTGAGAGTCAATGAATAGAATGAAGCAGGTTATTTTTCAGGGAAAGTGTGTTAAGTAGGAAGACTAAAATTAATGAGAGAAAGATCTACATTCAAAGGAATTATTACCAGTTATATAATTTTATCCCGGGAATTATTCTTAAAGTGAATTTTTAAAAGGCACATTATTATAAAATCATTACTCACCATCTTTGTAACTACAATAGCTATATGCATGATGATCCTAAGCAAGATGCTGAATAAGATCTCCTTGTTGCACAATCCTTGTGATAAATAGCACAAATATAAATACTGAGAAGAAAACAAATCTCTATAATGTGCTACTATCTCTCTGTTATTGAAAAATTTTCCCTAGTATCATTTACTAAAATTTGTTGGCCAGTAACTGTACTTCACTGTATATAGTCTATGCAAGGGTTAACAAAATACATGATATCTGGTTGTTTGTATTGGTTTACAATTTACAATGAGAATAAAAATCAGACTTTCCCATGTTATCACAATGGTTTCAAATGATTCACAGTGTCACTAAAATACATTCAGAAGAGATTTCTAAAGATTTGTTACAACTGACAGAGCTGGACCTTCTAGATTTCTCTTTCCTAGCAACAATATATGAGTTGTAAATGCAGCAAGCATCCTTGAGTATTTTAGTCTAAGTACTAAGTTTAGAATGAAAACAAAGAATACTTTCCAATCTATGTTAGGCATTTTAATCTTTCTTTCTTTCTTTCTTTCTTTCTTTCTTTCTTTCTTTCTTTCTTTCTTTCTTTCTTTTCTTTCTTTCTTTTTCTTTCTTTCCTTCCTTCCTTCCTTCCTTCCTTCCTTCTTTCCTTCCTTCCTTCTTTTCTTTTTTTTCTCTCTCTCTCTTTCTTTCTTTTATTTTTTCTTGAGACGCAGGCTTGTTCTGTCACCCAGGCTGAAGTCCAGTGGCACAATCTCGGCTCACTGCAAGCTCTGCCTCCCAGGTTCACGCCATTCTCCTGCCTCAGCCCTCAGACTCCAAAGTAGCTGGGACTACAGGCGCCCGCCACCATGCCCAGCTAATTTTTTGCATTTTTAGTAGAGACAGGGTTCTTGCATTATCAGAAATAAAACTTGTAATAAAAGAGGAAATTAATCAAAACAAAAATAGGAAGTTCTGATTTCTTATTGACTGGCAGTAGTCTGAGCAGCTAAGTCTAAAGAAGACCTCAAGTCTTCAAGTACTTTTCTCTCTCAGGAGTAGTCTTATTCCATTGCTGGATGGCAACACTGATTAATATGATGTGATTTAGATGAAAAAAGAAAAACCAAAATAAAATTGATAAAAAAAAAATTAGGTGCTAGAGCCAATTTCTGATGAACTTGCTTGTTCATCAAGTTCAGTCACCAGTGAAAAATCAATGACATGAAAATGGACTACTAAGTCACACTGTGATCATTTCAGAATGTCTCTAACAACATTTGGAATCCCTAATCTGTCCAGAAAATCTCTCTTTTTCCCTACCAACTTAGTGCTACAATACAGTATTTTAAAGTGTCTAAAGACCTACAAAAGTTTTATGGCTCATGTTCCTACATTCGACTTGGATGGATTCTAGACTACCTCTCAAATGTTCCATTATTCCTCCTTTCTCTCACACACACACACACACAAAATTATACAAAGCCACTCTCAAGTAATATTTGACTTCTTGACATTTTCCTGAGTATATAATGCTGAAACATCCCCAAATTCACAAGCAGAAAATTATTGCTTCTAAATTTCACCAGAGATTTTAAGCCATATTTTGTGCCATGGATCACTTTGGTAGTCTAGTGAAGCCTTTGGACTTCATTTTAATTTAAATAAAGCCAATTATATTGCAATATAGTTTTGAAAATGTTTTTTTAAAATATATGTTAGTGTTTAAGATAATAAGTTCCAGACGTATGCTTAATAATGACAATATTGAAGTTTTCATGAGCTTTATTTCAAAATATCTATAATAAATGTTTCTTGTCATATAAAATTTATTATTTCTATTAGGAACAAAGTTACATGTACTACCTGACACTAATCTGGTATTCCACTTGTATTCATAATGGGGACTGCTAATTTTTACCTAGTGGTTTACATTTATATATATAATTTTCCCTCTCAAAATGCATGTATATGAACCCCAAATCTTAACCACAGATTCTTGGGCATCCATGGACTCCAGTTTAAGAACCACTGCCCTATAAGTGAAACATAAATTATCACCTTAAAGAGATACTCTGCAAATTCTTTTTTTGGATTGCTTACAGTGATCTGAGCATTATCTGATATTACTCTGCAAATTAATATCCAAATACTCCCATAAGCTACCTCTTCTCCATAAATATTAAAACCATATTCTATTTATAGTATCTTTGAAAAAGTCTGGGAAGGGAGGTTATCACTGTTGGGTTCCTGCTTTCACTTTGTTTGGAACCTGGCCTAATATACATTGTTTTATGTACTCAAAGTATGCTTTTAATAGGAATATGTGTTTGTTCATTTTTATTCCTTCTCTCAAAAGCCACATATATAGAGTTTGATTGGCATTGTGTTATTAGTAACAAGAGGGAGACTAGCAGTTCTTATGACCTACAACTTACACCTATTATGTAAAAGCATTACAATAATTGACACTGGCAATTTTCTCCCTTTCTGCATCCTAAAAGTGTCTTTGTAGAAAAAAAAATACCTAAAATATTTAAATTTGTGAAGCAGAGATGCTATAAAATGTAGTTCACTGCAGGTAGACAACTGCCAGGAATATAATAATGATAGAAATCTGTGCATACGTAAGTATACCCCAATATATATCCCTATTATTCATGTAGCAATTTCTTTTTGCAAAGTGATAAGTAGAAACCAATTAATGGAAATACCAGTAAGAAGCAGTTAGGTAGGGTTATATTAGAGGATGCTGGCTAGATCAGAAACAAAATGTGGGCAGTCAAGAAAGGCATCAATGCCTACTCTAAGGAATTTCTTCAGTCATTCACTAGATGATCAGTAATGATCACTTGATTATTGAAAAGAAAATGGAAAATGCTTTTATGACATTGCTGCAGTGAGATGTCCATAATTAAATTGCTCTCAGTTTTGGCCTTTTATGTACTTCAAGATCCCTCATTGTGATGGTTAACACTGAGTGTCAACTTGATTGGATAGAAGGATACAAAGTATCAATCCTGGGTGTGTCTGTGAGGGTGTTGCCAAAAGAGATTAACATTTGAATCAGTGGGTTGGTGAAGGCAGATCCACCCTTAATATGGTGGGAACAATCTAATCAGTTGCTAGCAAATATAAAGCTGGCAGAAAAATGTGAAAAGGAGAGATTGGCCTAGGCTTCCAGCCTACGTCTTTCTCCTGTGCTGGATGCTTCCTGTCCTGGAATATTGGACTCCAAGTTCTTCAGTTTTGGGACATGGACTGGCTCTCCTTGCTCCTCAGCTTTCAGACAGCCTATTGTGGGACCTTGTGATCATGTAAGTTAATATTTAATAAACTCTCCTATATATGTATATGTGTGTGTGTGTGTGTGTATATATATGTGTATATATGTATACATATATACATATATACACACATATACATACATGTATGTATACATATATATCATGTAAGTTAACACTTAATAAACTCCCATATATACATATATACATATATAAAATACATATACATTATATATATAAATTTATATATACTTTATATATATGTATATGTATACACATATACATATATATATATATATAGATAAAGCTGAGGAGCAAGGAGAGCCAATCTGAGTCCCAAAAGTGAAGAACTTGGAGTCTGATATATATACACATATATGTGTATATATACACATATATGTGTATATATATCCTATTAGTTCTTTCCCTCTAGAGAACCCTGACTAAAACACGCATAGAGGAACAGAAAGGCATGATCTGGAAAAGCAGTTGCTACTCATTCCTCCTTTGCGCCTTTTACCACTTTGTTTTGGATGGGAGAAGTAAATGAACAATATATTTTGCTATGGTTGTTTTAAAATGTATTCAGCTTTAAATTAAATTAATACATGTCAGTGTTCCCTGAATTAGGTTTATAATCTTTTTAAAAACCCACAGTAATTGTATACCCCATTCTTCCTTCACTTACCTTAGTTATCAATCTCATGAAAGAGTTTACAATTCTAAGTTGTTTCCCCTTTGTATGCTTTTTCATTTATATCTACTATACATTTGCGGCCATTTTCTGATATTTGAATATTTAATACAACATTCTCACAATTGGAGGATAAAGATTTAAGTCTCTCATACATATTATCTACCCACACTTCACTTTCCTTCTTAATTTCTTCTAATGTAGAATTCATCTTGTAATGAATTACCAGAATTGGTATTCAGGATAAATAGTATTGTAATTTGTGACAACTGAGGATTTACTATTCAATTAACAAATTTCTATGGCTATATAACTTTACATTTTTCTGGAACAATTGAATTTTGGGGGGAGTGGTGTGCCTGGTTTTCCATTTTTTTATTCACTGCCAACAGAAACGTAAAACTTCTTCCCGTGTTGAGATGTGTGAGTATGTGTTTATATGTGTGCACTGATTTATTGATTACATTTTTTTCCCTGAGAAAATTTCTTCCAGATTAATTTTTCTGATTCCCCTCTTCAAATCTAGCTAGTTGTTCTCTAGGTGGGCTGCTTACCTGTCCTCTTTGGATTTTTCTTCATGTTATCTAGAGTATTCCCTTCACTTAGAAGGTGCTTTTTATCTTCTGTTTCATGGATTCTATGTTATCCTGCTTCTGGTTTAGTCATTTTGTGGAGCTTATCCTCTAGTAGCTTATGGAGAAATGGTGAATTCAGGAAAATTTTAAAGATACATCATGACTGAAAACAGCATTATTCTTTCCCTTATACTCATAGTTTGCCTGAGTATAGAATTCTGTATTGGAAATTTGGAGCCAGAAATTTTGAAGACATGACACTAGCATCTAATGCTGATGTTTAGAAATAATGTCAATCCTTTTAGTAACCTGTTTTTCTTTCTCAATAATTTTTAAGAATCTCTTTATCTTCACTCCTCTGAAATTCAATGATGATTCAACTTCATATGGCTATATTTTTCTGTAATTATACTGACAATTTGATGAGACCTTTAATTCTGGAAGTTTGTGTTTTATATTTTCTGTATTAGTGTTCATGTCTTTTTAAAATTCCTTATTCACTCAGTTACTTTCAGGGGACTTCCTAGACAGACTCCAATTTTATATAACTTTGTCTTTTGCTCTACCTTTTGAGATGTTACTCAAAATATTTCCTATGATTTTTCTGACAATTTTAATACATTTCTCATGTGTTAAATTTCAAAGAAAATTCTTATTTAAAATTTTCTATAATTTCTTAATTTTCACCAATTTAATTATGTTATAGGTAATTTTTTATTTAATCTTACCATAAAACATACTCATTTAATACTTAGCTATATACATTTTGCACATAAACAACACAAAAACATAATTTTTTCTCATTAATACACTTTTTTTTTATTTCAATATTTTAGATTCAGGGAGTACATGTGCAGATTTGTTACATGGGAATATTGCACAATGATGAAGTTTGAAGTATGGATCCAGTCACCCGGGTAGTGAGTATAGTACTTATCTGACAGGTAGTTTTTTAAACAGCTCCCCTCCCTCCACTCTCTAGTAGTCCACAGTATCTATTACTTCCATATTTATGTCCATGTGTGCTCAATGCTTTGCTCCACATATAAGTGAGAACATGTGGTATTTGGTTTTCTGTTCCTGCATTAATTTGCTTAGGATGACCTCCAGCATTATCCATGCTGCTGCAAAGGACATGATTTTGTTCTTTTTTATGGTTGCATAGTATTCCATGGTGTAACAAATTTTCGTTGATGGGTACCTGGGTTGATTCCATGTCTTTATTATTGTGAATAGTGTTGCAATGAACAAACAAGTGCATGTGATGTTTTGGTAGGATAATTTATTTCCCTTTATGTATATCCTCAGTAATGGGAATGCTGGGATAAATAGTAGTTCTGTTTTAATAACTACCTTTGAGAAATTTTCAGACTGCTTTCCACAGTGGCTGGACTAACTTACATTTCTACCAATGGTGTATAAGCATTCCTTTTTCTCTGCAGCTGCCACCGGAATCTATTATTTCTGGTTTTATCGCAATAGCCATTCTGACTAGTATAAGATGGTATCTCATTGGTTTTTCATTTGCATTTCTCTGATGATTAGTGATGTTGAGCATTTTTTCATGTTTGTTGATCACATGTATGTTTTCTTTTGAGAAGTGTCTGTTCATGTTCTTTGCCCAGTATTTAACGGGGTTATTTGTTTTTTGCTTGTTGTTTAAGTTGCCTATAGACTCTGGATATTAGGCCTTTGTCAGAAGCATAGTTTGTGAATATCTTCTCCCACTCTGTAGGTTGTCTGTTTTCTCTGTTGATAGTTTCTTTTGCTGTGCAGAAGCTGTTTAGTTTAATTAGGGCCCACTTGTCTATTTTTGGTTTTGCTGCAATTGCTTTTGAGGACTTAGCCAAAAATTCTCTGTGAAGGCTGATATTGAGAATAGTATCTCTTAGGTTGTTTTCCAGAATGTTTATAGTCTGCAGCCTTACATTTAAACCTTTAATCCATTCTGAGTTAATTTTTGTATATGGTGAAAGGTAAGAGTCCACGTTCAATCTTCTGCATATGGCTAGCCAGTTATCCCAATATCATTTGTTGAAAAGGGGGTCTTTTCCCAATTACTTGTTTTTGTTGTCCTCTGAAATCCGCAGAGACACAATGAAAAAAGGAAAACTTCAGACCAATATCCCTCATGAACACAGATGCAAAAATCCTCAAAATACACTAGCAAATCAAATCCAGCAGCACGTCAAAAAGTTAATATACAATGATCAAGTAGGCTTTATTCCTGGGATGCCAGGCTGGGTCACCAAATTCAAAGCAGTAAGTGTGATTCACCACGTAAACAGAATCAAAAGCAGAAACGATATGATCATCTCAAGATACACAGAGAAAAGCTTTCGATAAAATCCAACATCCCTTCATGATAAAAACCCTCAACAGAGTAAGAATTGAAGGAACATACCATAAAATAATAAGACATATCTATGAAAATTCCACAGCCAGCATCATAGTGAATGGGCAAGTGCTTAAACCATTCCCCTTGAGAAGTGGAACAAGACAAGGTTGCCCACTCTCACTACTATTCAATGTGGTACTCGAAGTCCTAGCCGGAGCAATCAGGCAAGAGAAATAAATGAAAAGCCTCCAAATAAGGAAAAGAAGTAGTCAAACTATCTCTCTTTGCTGATGACATGATTCTATTCCTGGAAAATCCTAGACTCTGCCAAAAGGCTCCTAGAATTGATAAACAACTCTAGTAAAGTTTCAGGATAGGAAATCAATGTACAAAAATCAGTGGTATTTTTTATACACCAATAACGTCCAGGCTGAGAGTTAAATTAGGAACACAATCCCAGTTATAACAGCCACAAAGAAAATGAAATGAGGCAGCGCTCCTTTCACGGGGGCACTAGCTGCAGGGGGTCTGTTCCTGCAGAGCCCTGATTCAGCGACAGATGAATAAAGTACACTGATACGCAGATACTCTGCACTGTCAGTCCAGCTGAGGGTCCGAGCCGCTTACAGGCTCCAAGCTGAGTTCTGTAAACAGTTGCGACTCGGCCATGATCAGCTAGTGAGACTCACATTTATTCAGTAAGACTAATTAACAAAAGTTGTGAGTAAACACCACTAGAGGGTAAAGATTAAAGGCCAGGTTCCCAGGCCTAAAGCAAACACCATTTGCGGGTGATAAACTTCTGCCAATCCCCACCCGCTCCCAGTAGGAGGCAGTAAAG
Organism: Homo sapiens; assembly: GCF_000001405.40. Lineage (NCBI taxonomy): Eukaryota > Metazoa > Chordata > Mammalia > Primates > Hominidae > Homo > Homo sapiens. The sequence goes on from NC_000004.12 coordinate 92,013,661, forward strand.
TACCCGCGGTAGGACAAAGGTCAGTCTTAAGCCCATATAAGTAAACAGGTTAGTAAGATAAACTTCCCACATTCCTTTGTACTTGCACCCTAATCTTTCTGGCTCCTGAAAAGAGACCCTGGCTGCCTTCCACCAAGCAATCTGAAGCTATGCAAACTCTCACGGCCTTCCAAGAGAGTTTTTGACTATTACTATAACTATATTTAATATTTTTCCCATCAGCTTGATTGAACCCTAACAATGAAATACCTAGGAATACAGCTAACCAAGAAGTAAAAGATCTGTACAAGAAAAACTAAAAAATACTGCTGAATATAACCGTAGATGACACAAACAAATGGAAAAATATTCCATGCTCATGGATTGGAAGAATCAATATCATTTTTCTAATTCTTGTTTTGTGGAAGATTTTTATAAAAGGAAGATAATATTCACAAATGTATTTTCATAATTAAAATTAATATTTTGAATTACATGAGTATGACCATAAATGATGGGTCTATTACATTTTTAAAACTTCCATTAACTAAGGTAGGCATTTTTGAGAACTTTACGAGATGACATTGCGTTGCTCTCATGCCTATTGCCAGGGTGATTGCACAATAACTATATTATCTATTGCGTGAACAAAGCTTCCTCACTGGTCTCCCTAGCACCTAATTTGTTGCCATGTGATACATTTTACAGGCTGCAGCAGAACTAGTTTAAACACACATGTCACATTTCTTTTTAGAGAATTCAGTTATAGTTTTGCATTACTCTACAGCTAAAATCTAAATTCATTAATGTGTATGAACAGGCTCTGGCCATTATCCATATCTTTTGTCCACCTCTCTTCTCTCTTCAGTGTACTCTGACTAAACTGTACTAAATTTCTGTCATCTCTATTATCTATTTTTCCTCATATTCCATACTGTTTTCACTGTCTAGAACAACATTTTATCCATGCCAGTTTTGGGGGTGTTAGCTCATTCATTCTTAGAGAAATCCTTCAAAAATGGTTACTATCTGATACTTCCACTCTCATTTAAAAAACCACACTTTGGTCTAATCATTCTTTTTTTGTTTTTTGTTTTTTGTTTTTTTGTCTTCTACTATTCTGAAAAACTTAATTTTAATAGTAGTTAGGTGTTCTAAGATGTCAGCTTGACAATAGTGTGCAAGGTATTTAGTTAACTTAACCTTGAACTGATACTAACTTCAGTTAATTAATTGATATTCATTAGCTATCTAGATCATTTCTAAGTAAGGAAATGTTAAAACATTGTTACTGATGCCTCATTGTGAAGGTTTACTTCTGGGTTAACTTCTTGAGATTAGTTTATATTCCTTTTTTACTTACTTTTGGAGAAAAACGTTTTGTTTATTATACCCATAGAAATAGTTCTTGCATAGTCATATATGCTATTACATACAATTATAAAAAATATATTCAAGTTTTCATTTTAGTAATTAATACTGCTCTTCTTTTTTCACATTTGAGGAGTATATCTTGTTTTCCAGAACAAATAAGACAATGTGGCTTAGCAACTCTTATAAATATTTTAACAACGTTGAACTTTATCTGAATTTTGTGTTCCTAGGAAGTAGCAGCATTTAAGAAACCACCACTACTTCTGCCATTCGTTTATGTTCCAAGAAATGACTAACCATAAAAGACCACTTTACTCTTGTATATTACAAGAAAAGAGCTGTCACAATCTTTTCTCATGACTTCCATAAACCTTGTAATTATTTACCTGCCTTTGTAAAAATCCCCTTCCTTTCCTTTTCCTTACTTAACATTCTCTTTCTTAGAATAAATAGCATAAATAAAATTATCTCTTTAATTGTCCAGTGCATTTTGTCTTTCAAAGCTTTGATGCCAAGACTCAAAGAAAATTGAAACTACCATGGATCCATATTTATTCTACCCAGGTAATGAGGTCTGTTGGTAATAAGGTCTCTTGGTGTACCTTGTGCACTGTTCCTGATTAGCAACCTTCTCACTTTTGAAAGAAATACAATCATGTAATCTCATAGGTTTACTTTCAAAGTATTTTATTGTCATTTTGGTTAAATAGGCAACCAAATAATTTTCCCCTATAACCTATTATCTTGTCTTTATCAACTATTCAAATCTCTTGAAATATTTTGATATTTTGCTTTCCAAAAATAGTATTATGTCACAAAAGACCCAAACAAATGAAAAAACATTCCATATTCGTGAATAAGAAAACTCAAACTTGTTAAAATGTCAGTTCTTGCCAATTTGATCTATAGATTCAATATAATCACAATCAAAATCCCAGCAAGTTGCTTGTCAACATAGTAAACTAATTCTAAGGTTTACATAGAAAGTCAAAAGACCAGAATACCTGACACAATATTGAAGAAGAAGAATCAAGTCAGAGGACACTACCTGATTTCAAATCTTACTATGAAGCTACAGTAATCCAGACACATAGATTGGCAAAGTAACAGACAGATGGATCAATGAAACAGAGTAGAAAACCCAGAAATAGACCCTAACAAATATACTCAACTGATTTTTGACAAAGGAGAAAAGAACTAACAAATGAAAAAAAGATTGTCTTTTCAACAAATGGTGCTGAAACAACCAGGTAGCTAGTTGCAAAACAGTGAATCTAGACACTGACCTTACTTAATATAAATTAACTAAAAAATTAACCTAAATATAGAAGTAACTAAAAATCAATCTAAATATAATGCAATATGAAATGCAAAATTTCTAGAATGTAACATAGGATAAACTCCATGGTAACTTAGGTTTGGAAATGAATTTTTAGATACAACAACAAAAGCGTGATCTATGAAAAAAATTAAAATGTTAGACTTAATTAAAATTAAAAACGTCTGCTCTGTGAAAGATAATGTTAAGAGAATGGAAAGACAAACAACAGACTTGGAGAAAATATTTGCAAACACATATCTAATAAAAGACTTGTATCCAAAATATACAAAGAACTCTTAAAACTCAACAATTTTTTTTAAAAGTCCAATGAAAAAATAGGCAGATGATCTGAACAGCCACCTCAACAACAACAACAAATATATATATATGGCAAATAAGAATATAAAACAATGCTCAACATTATAAGTAATTATAATCGAAATGTAGGAAAATCCAAAACATGGACGGAATTAAATATTGAAGAGAATGTGGATTGACAGGAAATGTCATTACTGGTGGAAATGCAAAATGGTACAGCCACTTTGGAAGATAGTTTTAATTATTTATTTATTTATTTATTTATTTATTTTTTGAGATGGAGTCTCGCTCTGTAGCCCAGGCTGCAGTGCAGTGGCGCGATCTCAGCCCACTGCAAGCTCCGCCTCCCAGGTTCAAGCCATTCTCCTGCCTCACCCTCCCGAGTAGCTGGGACTACAGGCGCCCGCCACCACACCCGGCTAATTTTTTTTTTTTTTTGTATTTTTACTAGAGACGAGGTTTCACTGTGTTAGCCAGGATGGTCTCGATCTCCTGACCTCGTGATCCACCCACCTCAGCCTCCCAAAATGCTGGGATTACAGGCGTGAGCCACTGTGCCCAGCCGGAAGGTAGTTTTTAAAGTTATTACAAAACTAAGCATACTCTCATACTTTTATACTTTTACCATATGATTCAGCTACCACACTCCTTAGTATTTGCCCAAGTAAGTTGAAACTTCATGTCTACACAAAAATCTTCATATGAATGTTTATAGCATCTTGTTTTATAATTGCCAAAAATTGGAGAAAACTAAGATGTCTTTAAATAGGTGAATGAATTATTTAAAAAAAAAACCGTGGAACATCCATCTGAATAGTGGAATAACATCTGAATAATAGAATGTTATTCAGCAATAAAAGAAATGAGCTATCAAGCCACCAAAAGACATGCAGGAACCTTAAATGCATATTGCTAGGTGAAAAAAAGCCAGTCTTAAAAACTATGTACTGTATGATTCCAATTGTGTGACATTCTAGAAAAGGCAAAACTGTAGAGACATTAAAAAAATCAGCTCTTGCCAGGGCATTAAGGGTGAGGAGGAGGAATGAATAGGTAGAATAGGAGGAATTTTTAAGGCAGTGAAACTATTTTATATGATACTGTAATGGTGGATACACGAGCTTATGCATTTGGCAAAACCTGTAGAATGCACAATACAAAGAAAGAACCCTTATATAAACTATGGCACTAGTCAATAATAACATACTAGCATTTGTCTGTCACTTGTAACAAATATACCACACGAATGAAGATGTCAGTAATAGGGAAAACTGACAGGTAGAGAAAGGAAGTATACAAGAACACTGTAATTTCTGTTCAACTTTTGTATCACCCTAAATGACTCTAAAAGGTATATTAATTAAAATAAAAATTATAAATGATACCTTTTGAGCTTAAAACTGTATTTTTGATTTCCCAGAAGGCTTCTGGAAAATCACAAATGATTTCTTTCACTTCGAAAAGAAGGGGTGGCAGAAATAATTAGGTTCATTTAATATGTTACTGTTGATGCAATGTATATGAAGAATGGTCAAATCAGAAGAGATTCTTAGACTTTCTAGGGTTAAATTGTATTGCTAAAATGTTCTTAATGTATGGATTACAGAACATGTATGTGAAGTTCGTATGATTTGTCTTTGTCCTCACAGTCCATGGCATGTTTCTATCATTGTTCTTTGGCTGCTTTGCTGATATTAGACAATAGTATAGTATTTTCAGTAATAATTTCAGTTATTTGTAAGACATCAACTTGTTTGTAAATCTAGTTCTTTAATATAAACAGGGCATCTCTCTTAGGCCATTGGTTTTGAACTGGGGATTCATATCATTTAACTGTAGAGTTTTATTAATATACAGATATTCCAGATTTACATAATTTATTTTTATTCTTGATATATTCTGACTATATGTTTTGATATCTGGAGTATTTTCTTTGTAAATAATATGTCCCTTTCAGCTTTGTAAGTTAAATGTACTAACTGTATCTACTATTTTTGCAAATAGTTTTATTATGCTTATAAATTTTTGTCTAATATAATTTTGGATTGACTTTTATCTTATTTTGCATGCCACAGGAAATAAACAAATTTTCTTTTTCACTCGTATTATTCTTGTAATGAACTCTCATCAGATATTTCAGTTTTTTAAATTACTAATATTAAGTTACCCACAGCCTTTTTAAGTCTTTGTCATCTATGCATAGTTTTTGTTTTATTCTAATGCTACCCTGAAAGCACTTGTGATCAGCCTTAAGCCAGTATGCTTCATATTTAACAACAACAACAACAACAACAGAAACTGTGTTAGAGATCCATAGGAAAGGACTATACAAGGTACTTTTGGGTACAGGTTTCTGACAGCAGTATTTAAACAGCTTTTGGATCACTTCTTTGTATTTCCAAAACTCTAAGTAAGAGGTGGACAGGTTCACAATATGTTCACCAAAGATAGATCACGAAAAGAATTAATTATATAAGACTGAGTGTATTGATGAGAGATTATTGTGGATTTTGTTTCAAATTATTCTGATTTTTTATTGTTCTGTTTTTTAGACATACAAAGCGTCTCCTAATCTTTTCTTTTAAGCTATGTATAACTTATAACAATTTAGTAAACTATGGTTTTGCAAACTAAAATTATACATTTGTAAATGATATGTTTTTCACTCTGCCTGACCATTCCTGAATTCAAAAAAATCTTATTGAGTATCATTATTTTTGTGGAAATATAAGTCTTTTAATATATTCAATAGAGCATGTTTTCTTTGTTAGCAGGACATAATTGGAAAATATGTACCCAAAGCCTTGTCTGGGCTATCACATTTGAGGATGATGCTCACATACTCAGATATGACCATATAATTTTAAGGAACTAAGGTTGGCTTATCGAGACAATAATCACAAAGCCCTCTTGGGAAAACTACCTTCATACATGGCTTACAGGATTTCCAACATTACAGATGCGTAAAGAAGGCCACTTCCTATCAAGACCACAAAACTCAGAATGTTTTGGGGGCTTTAAGAAAAAAAAAGTAACACTGAAATTTAAAGGTTTTCAGGTGATGACCCGTTTGTTAGTTTCCTATTGTTGCTATAACAAAATACCACAAACTTGTAGACAAAACAAAATATTTTATTATCTTAAAGTTTTGTAATTCAGAAGTTTGAAATGGGTATCACTGGGCTAAATTCAAGATACTAGAATGTCTACATTCCTTTCTGTAGACTGTAGGAAATAATTCAATTTCTTTCCTCTTCCAGCTTTTAGAAGCCACCCCTATTCTTTAATTCCTTGGCTTGTGACTACCTTTCTTCATTTTCAAAGCCAGCAAGTACAAGTTGATTTCATCACAACTCATAATTTGGATTCTCTTTTTCTGCTTCCTTCTTCCCTATTTAAGAACAGTAAACTTTATATAGGTACCATCTGTATAATCCAGGATAATCTCTCTGTTTTATGATCAGTTGAATAGCAACCAATTCGATCTTGAATTGTAATTTCCCCTTCTCATATAAAGTTGTATATTCATAGGTTCCAGGGATTAGGATGTGGACATCTTTGTGGAGGGCATTGGTCTGACACCACACCAGCTCTTGGCTTGACTTCTAGTTTTAAGAGACTTTTAAAAGTACAATATTAGATTTTCTTTTTAATGAAAACTTCCAGCAAATCAAAATTTAAAAATCCAATATGGTAATTTACTACTCTTGCCCCTCCTATGTAATAATCCAGCCAAATCTAATGGTACTACTATCTAATAATAATACTATTTTGTGATCAAGAATAATCTTTCTTTGAAATTAGTTTTTATCAAAAAAGGGGTCACTCTGAAGAGAAACTTTGTGAATCAGTTACAAACAATGTGTCATCTATAGCATATCCTTTTGGTTTATCAAATTCTAGCCCTATTCATTCTGAGCTATCTGGAGCCCACATTCATCTTTAGCTATTTTTCACCACTATGTAATTTGCCAATAGCTGATGAATATGCAAATTCTGTTTTGCCTGATGGACATTTAATTGACTTCCTAACCTTCCATATAAAATCAGTTTTGGTACCTACTTATAGATTAGACAGATATTATTACCTTGTCCAAGTTGTCAATCCTTGACAAAATTTCAATTCTCCAAGTTTTCTTTAATATCTGTCAATAGCCCTCCAAACTAAGTTTTCCAATCTTTCTCCTTCCTCAGTGTCACCAAGAAGTAAAACTTGACTTTGCATATCTTTATCTTGACTCTGATTGTGTTGGGGCTGGCCATTTTACCAGGATCTGAAGAAGTTCTGCAAGTGGAACCTTGGCTACTTGATATAAATCTTGAAGGACTAACCACTGCAAGAGACCATCCATGGGCCCAAATTCTTCCTGTACAAGGTCCTATCTGGATCATTAAGGAAGTCTAGCAAAATATCCATGTCATGATACAAGAGGTAACCAGACTATGGTCAGCATCCACCAAGGCATCAATTTTCTAGCTTGAGAGTTTTGAGAACTCAATTAGTAGTGCTGCATAACCTCCTGGAATCCACTAGACTGGTTAATCTCAGGGTCCAAACCTGGATTCTTTATTTTAATACAATATTTTATATCAATATTTCTCTTTTTCATTATTTTAGGCTTCCCTCTTTTAAGATTCCTAAACTCCAGGACAAGAACAGTCATAACAAGGGTTCTCAACTCTGCTGAGCCATTCAACAGATGGTTCAACCAGTTTTACAGAAAAAAAAAAAAAAGAATCTTCCAGTGACTATTTCTGACATGCTTCTTTGCCTCACTCAGAAAGTTAATGATCAACTCAAGTTATTTAGCAATGAAGACATTTGTCTTGTACAAAAAGAGGGATTGACAATTTCGAACATTATCATGATCTCTATAAGACTCAAGTGACACACTTGTTTATTTGCCTCCATAAAACACCAGACCCCTTTCTTTCTTTGAGACATTTCTCATTAATTAATGTTCTCTCTATGACCATAACCTTAATAAAATAATCTCCTTAACAGTCTACTGCACTTAGTCTTTCACAAGTTCAACCTTTTATAATAGGCTTCTTTATCACCAATAAACTAATTACATAATCATAGAAATAAATATGATAGTGATGATGATGATATTGAATACATACTGCTTATTCTGTTCTTAGCATGTTATATATAACAACGATTTAATCTTCATTACAAACCTATGAAGTAGACAATGTTAATATCTCCATTGAACCAGTGAGAAAAATCTGAGAACAAAGATATTAGGTAAGTAGATCAAGGTCACAGAGCTTGTAAGTTATAGAACCAAGTTTCAAACACAGGCTGCCTGGTTCCAAGGTCTGTGCTCTTAACACTTATGCCAACTGCCTTACTGTTAAGCCTCTAAAAATAACTTTTCTTCATCCAGAAGACTCCTCCAATATGGTTCTGTTTTTTTAATCCCTGTTGTGATTACCTTTCTTAAGGTGGTGCAATACAATCGCCCTAAGTGTTCTGCTCTCTGTGGCTGTGTATAAGAGAACAAATGATAAAGTACTTTTTCCTCCAAACAAAATTCTTCATACATTATATATTTTTTTAAAAAATTTACTTTCATGGTGTAGTTTTATTATCATTGTATTTATATTTGAAAAATATATTTGAGTACAATTTTCATAAACATTGTCTCTAGAGCTAGACTGCCTTGGTTTGAATACCTGCTTCAATGTTTACCAGCTATGTATCACTTTGCACATATTATTTAATCACTCTAATCCCTGGCTTCATCCTCTGTAAACTGGGAATAATAAAGAGAACCAACTCCAAGCATATATGTGCTATCTAGTGAGATAACAAATGGAAAACACTACTTGGAACATAAAAAGCACTTAATCACTATCATTTTTTTAACTCTACATTTCACTGTAATCTCTTTAAGTTCAGCAGTGAGTTTATACTTCTCTTTATATTCCATTTGTAAGACACCAAATTCAACCCACTATATGCTCAATAGTTTTTTATAAACATAATTTATGTCCATTAGACCGACAGCACAGAGGTAATTTCTTTATGATTTATACTTAAACATAGTATTTCTACCATTGTTTAGTATGGTCACATAACCACATAAAATATTCTGCTGTTGATTACTTACTTAATTACTTGAAAGACCTCAGTTTTTTTCTAAAAATTTGATAGCTATAATATGTACACTATTATAAATTAAATAGATATTCATATACTTATATATATTATATATATACATATCAGGACAATCTTACTCCAGGTAACTCCTTCTCTCTGTATTTCATAGGCTTATTACCAGAAATAAATTTGATAATGCAAATGAAAATATTTGTAAAGTACTGCACAAAAATTTAATAAACTATGATATTTATATGATTAATATCTAAAAATGGGGAAGAGAATAAGGTCATATGGAATTGATCTACATCTGGTTATCTTCAACTAGATGCCTAATATCCTAAAGATTTCAAAAAATTGGAATCATTTTCTCCCCAATGAAGCAATTTATATCTAGCTTAAAGTATAATGTAAGTAATGAAAAAATAGCTCTTCTCAATCAGTTCTGACCTAAATCCAAGTCCTATAACAATCTTTCAAATGTATCCATTCTTTTTCTTATTCCTTATTTCTAAAACTCATGTTTATCCTGTTATTTCTTGATTTTTAATTTTGAGTCTATATGTACTGTGGCAGTGTTTACTTCTCTCTTGTACTTTCCCAGTTCTGACATAGTCACCCTTTCCCATCTCCCAGTGAATCTTGTATTAGTTCATTTTCACACCACTAATAAGACATACCTGAGTCTGGGTAGTTTATAAAGGAAAGAGGTTTAAATGATTCACAGTTCAGCATGGCTGGGGAGGACCCACAACCATGGTGAAAGGCTAAGGAGCAACAAAGGCATGTCTTACATGGTGGCAGGCAAGAGATTGTGTGCAGAGGAACTGCCCTTTGTAAAACCATCAGATCTATTGAGACTTACTCACTATCATGAGAATAGCATGGGAAAAACCCGCCCCTATGATTCAATTACCTCCCACTGAATCCCTCCTATGACACGTGGTGATTATGAGAGCTACAATTCAAGATGAGATTTGGGTGCAGACACAGCCAAACAATATCATTCTGCCCCTGGCCCCACCCAAATCTCATGTCCTCACCTTTCAAAACCAATCATTCCTTCCCAGCAGTTCTCCAAAGTCTTAACTCATTTCAGCATTAACTCAAACGTCCACAGCCCAAAGTCTCATCTGAGACAAAGCAAGTCCCTTCTGCCTAAGACCCTATAAAATTAAAAGCAAGTTACTTACTTCCTAGATACAATAGGGGTCCAGGTAAATACATTCCAAATGGGAGAAATTGGCCAAAATGAAGGGGCTCCAGGCCCAACACAAGTCCAAAATTTAATAGAGCAGTAATTAAGCCTTAAATTACCAAAATAATATCCTTTGACACTATGTCTCAAATACAAGTTACGTTAATGCAAGACGTGGGTCCCCAAGCCTTGGGCAGCTTTGCCCCTGTAGCTTTGCAGGATACAGTCCCCCTCCTGGCTGCTTTCACAGGCTGGTGTTGAGTGTCTGCGGCTTTTTTAGGCACACAGTGAAAGCTGTCTATAGATCTACCATTCTGGAGTCTGGAGAATGATGGCCCTCTTCTCATGGCTCCACTAGGCAGAGCCCCACTGGGGATTCTGTGTGGGGGCTCCTACCCACATTTTCCTTCTGCACTGCCCTAGCAGAACTTCTCCACAAGGACGCTGCCCCTGTAGCAAACTTTTGCCTGAACATCAGGGCTTTTCTACATATCCTCTGAAATCTAGGTGAAGGTTCCCAAACCTCAATTCTTGACTTCTGTGCAACCACAGGCTCAACACCACGTGGAAGCTGCCAAGCTTGGGGCTTGCACTCTCTGAAGCCATGACCCAAGCTGTGCCTTGGCCCCTTTTAGCCATGATTGGAGTGGCTGAGACACAGAGCACCAATTTCCTAGGCTGCACACAGCAGGGGGATCCTGGGCCTGGCCCACAAGACCACTTTTTTCTTTCTAGGCCTCTGGACCTGTGATGGGAGGGACTGCCACAGAGGTCTCTGACATTCCCTGGAGACATTTTCCCCATTGTCTTGGTGACTAACATTTGGCTTCTCATTATTCATGCAAATTTCTGCAGCTGGCTTGATTTCTCCTGAGGAAGCAGGGTTTTCTTATCTACTCCATAATCAGCCTACATATTTTTCAAACTTTTATGCTCTGCTTTCTCTTGAATGCTTTGCTGCTTAGAAATTTATTCTGCCAGATACCCTACATCATCTCTCTAAAGTTCAAAATTCCACAGATCTCTAGGATAGGGGCAAAATGCCGACAGTCTCTTTGCATAGCAAGAGTGACCTTTACTGCAGTTCCCAACGACTTCCTCATCTCCATCTGAGACCACCATATCATTATCAATATTTTGGTCAAAGCTGTTTAACAAGTCTCTAGGAAGTTCCAAGGTTTCCCACATCTTGTCTTCTGAGCCCTCCAAGTTTCTAGGAAGTTACAAACTTTCCCACATTTTCCTGTCTTCTTGTGAGGCCTCTGAACTGTTCCAACTTCTGCCTGTTACCCAGTTTCAAAGTTGCTTCCACATTTTTGGGTATCTTTACAGGAGCACCCCACTACCCAGTACCAATTTACTGTATTAGTTTATTTTCATGTTGCTAATAAAGCCATACCCATATGAACACCAACAACTAAGACAGGTCTTAGTAAATTTAGAAAGTTTATTTTGCCAAGGTTGAGGACATGCACCTCCTGAGGACCACATGTGCCCAAGGTGGTGAGAGCACAGCTTGGTTTTATACATTGTAGGGAGACATGAGACATCAATCAATATATGTAAAGTGAACAATGGTTCAGTCCAGAAAGGTGAGGCAAATCCAGGTGGGGAGGGGGCTTCCAGGTCACAGGTAGGTGAGAGACAAATGTTTGCATTCTTTTTAGGTTCTGATTAGCCTCTCCAAAGGAGGCAATCAGATATGCATTTATCTAAGTGAACAGTGGGATTACTTTGAATAGAATGGGAGGCATGTTTGCCCTAAGAAATTGCAAGATTGAATTTTTCTTTTAGCTTAGTGATTTTGGGGCCTGTCAGGCCTCTGAGCCCAGGCCAGGCCATCGCATCCCCTGTGACGTGCACGTATACATCCAGATGGCCTGAAGTAACTGAAGATCCACAAAAGAAGTAAAAACAGCCTTAACTGATGACATTCCATGACTGTGATTTGTTCCTGCCCCACCCTAACTGATCAATGTACTTTGTAATCTCCCCCACCCTTAAGAAGGGACTTTGTAGTCTCCCCCACCCTTAAGAAGGCTCTTTGTAATTCTCCCCACCCTTGAGAATGTACTTTGTGAGATCCACCCCTGCCCACCAGAGAACAACCCCCTTTGACTGTAATTTTCCATTGCCTTCCCAAATCCTATAAAATGGCCCCACCCCATCTCCCTTTGCTGACTGTCTTTTCGGACTCAGCCCACCTGCACCCAGGTGAAATAAACAGCTTTATTGCTCACACAAAGCCTGTTTGGTGGTCTCTTCACATGGATGGGTATGAAATTTGGTGCCGTGACTCGGATCGGGGGACCTCCCTTGGGAGATCAATCCCCCGTCCTCCTGCTCTTTGCTCCGTGAGAAAGATCCACCTACGACCTCAGGTCCTCAGACGGACCAGACCAAGAAACATCTCACCAATTTCAAATCTGGTAAGCGGCCTCTTTTTACTCTCTTCTCCAACTTCCCTCACTATCCCTCAACCTCTTTCTTCTTTCAATCTTGGCGCTACACTTCAATCTCTCCCTTCTCTTAATTTCAATTCCTTTCATTTTCTGGTAGAGACAAAAGAGACACGTTTTATCCGTGGACACAAAACTCCGGCGCCAGTCACGGACTGGGAAGGCAGCCTTCCCTTGGTGTTTAATCAATGCAGGGACGCCTCTCTGATTATACACCCACGTTTCAAGGGTGTCAGACCACGCAGGGGCGCCTGCCTTGGTCCTTCACCCTTATTGGCAAGTCCCGCTTTTCTGGGGAAGGGGCAAGTACCCCAACCCCTTCTCTCCTTGTCTGTACCCCTTCTCTGCTTTTCTGGGGAAGGGGCAAGTACCCCAACCCCTTCTCTCCTTGTCTGTACCCCTTCTCTGCTTTTCTGGGGAAGGGGCAAGTACCCCAACCCCTTCTCTCCTTGTCTCTACCCCTTCTCTGCTTTCCTGGGGCAGGGGCAAGTGCCCCTCAACCCCTTCTCCTTCATCCTTAGCGGCAAGTCCCACTTTCCTGGGGCAGGGGCAAGTACCCCTCAACCCCTTCTCCTTCACCCTTAGCAGCAAGTCCTGCTTTTCTAGGGGGCAAGAACCCCGAAACCCCTTCCCTCTGTGTCTCTACATTCTCTTTTCTCTGAGTTTGCTTCCTTCACTATGGGCAACCTTCCACCCTCCATTCCTCCTTCTTCTCCCTTAGCCTGTGTGCTCAAGAACTTAAAACCTCTTCAACTCACACCTGACCTAAAACCTAAATGCCTTATTTTCTTCTGCAACACTGCTTGGCCCCAATACAAACTTGACAATGGCTCTAAATGGCCAGAAAACGGCACTTTCGATTTCTCCATCCTACAAGACCTAAATAATTTTTGTCGAAAAATGGGCAAATGGTCTGAGGTGCCTTACGTCCAGGCATTTTTCACACTTCATTCCCTCCCTAGCCTCTGTTCCCAATGTGATTCCTCCCAGATCCTCCTTCTTTCCCTCCTGCCTGTCCCCTCAGTCCCAACCCCAAGCATCGCTGAGTCTTCCCAGTCTTCCTTTTCTACAGACCCATCTGACCTTTCCCCTCCTCCCCAAGCTGCTCGTCACCAGACCGAGCTAACTCCCGATACTTCCTCAGCCTCCACTCCTCCACCCTATAATCCTTCTATCACCTCCCCTCCTCACACCTGGTCCGGCTTACAGTTTAGTTCCGCGACTAGCTCTTCCCCACCTGCCCAACAATTTCCTCTTAGAGAGGTGGCTGGAGCTGAAGGCATAGTCAGGGTACATGTACCTTTTTCTCTATCAGACCTCTCTCAGATCAGTCAACGTTTAGGCTCTTTCTCATCAGACCCCACTAAATATATACAGGAATTCCAATATCTAACTCTGTCCTACAACTTAACCTGGAGTAACTTAAATGTCATCCTGACTTCTACCCTCTCCCCAGATGAACAGGAAAGAGTTTTTTCTCTAGCCCAATCTCATGCTGATAACCACCGGCTTCATGAGCCAGACCTCCAGGAAGGCATTAGAGCAGTTCCCTGAGAGGATCCCCAATGGAACCACCAGGCAAATTTCCCAGGGACCCACTGGAAATCAGACTGCCCAGCTCGCCCGGGAGCCACTCCTAGAGCCCCTAAAGCTCTAGCCCAAGGCTCTCTGACTGACTCCTTCCCAGATCTGCTTGGCTTAGTGACTGAAGATTGACGCTGCCCGATCGCCTCGGAAGCCCCCTGGACCATCACAGATGCCGAGCTTTGGGTAACTCTCACAGTGGAGGATCCCCAGCCATATGAAGACACCCTAGCTGTACGATCAGTTCTTGTTAAGAATCTGACCCCTCAAACTCTACAACCTCGATGAGCCGGATCCTACTTAGTCATCTATAGTACCCCGACTGCCGTCCGCCTGCAGGATCCTCCCCACTTGGTTCACCGTTCCAGAATAAAGCTGTGTCCATCGGACAGCCAGCCTAATCCCTCCTCTTCCTCCTGGAAGTCGCAAGTACTCTCCCCTACTTCCCTTAAACTCACTCGTATTTCTGAAGAACAGTAATAACTCTTATGAGCCTAATACATCCCTTCATTCTATTAGGTCTTTTCGTCCTTACCCTACATTTTGCAACAGGGCTTTATGAAGCCACCCCCACCACTTAGGCTGAGCCCCAAAAAACTAGTCATCCCTACTATCTTCTGTCCGGTCATACTCCTATTCTCCATTCTCAACTACTTATAAATGCCCTACTCCTGTTTACACTGCTGGTTTACACTGTTTCTTCAAACCATCACAGCTGATATCTCTTGGTGCTATCCCCAAACTGCCACTCTTAACTCCCTCTTAGAGTGGGTAGATGATCTTTGCTGGCAAGGCACCCTCCAATACTTCCACCCTGATGAAGTTCTATTCTTTACTTTTTACTCACTCTTATTCTCATTCCCATTCTTATGCCACCCTCTACCTCTCCCCAGCTATCTCCACCACACTATCAACCTTACCCATTCTCTCCTAGCCGCTTCTAATCCCTCCTTGGCGAACAACTGCTGGCTTTGCATGTCTCTTTCTTCCAGTGCCTACACAGCTGTCCCCGCCTTACAGACAGACTGGGCAACACCTCCCGTCTCCCTACACCTCTGAACTTCCTTTAACAGCCCTCACCTTTACCCTCCTGAAGAACTCATTTACTTCCTAGACAGGTCCAGCAAGACTTCCCCAGACATTTCACATCAGCAAGCTGCCGCCCTCCTTCGCAATTATTTAAAAAACCTTTCTCCTTATATTAACTCTACTCCCCCCATATTTGGACCTCTCACAACAAAAACTACTATTCCTGTGGCTGCTCCTTTATGTATCTCTCGGCAAAGACCCACTGGAATTCCCCTAGGTAATTTTTCACCTTCTCGATGTTCCTTTACTCTTCATCTCCGAAGTCCAACTACACACATCACTGAAATAATTGGAGCCTTCCAGCTCCATATTACAGACAAGCCCTCTATCAATACTGACAAACTTAAAAACATTAACAGTAATTATTGCCTAGGAAGACACTTGCCCTGTATTTCGCTCCATCCTTGGCTACCTTCCCCTTGCTCATCAGACTCTCCTCCCAGGCCCTCTTCTTGTTTACTTATACCCAGCCCCAAAAATAACAGTGAAAGGTTGCTCATAGATACTCAACGTTTTCTCATACACCATGAAAAATGAACCTCACCCTCTATGCAGTTACCCCATCAGTCCCCATTACAATCTCTGACAGCTGCTGCCTTAGCTGGATCCCTAGGAGTCTGGGTACAAGACACCCCTTTCAGCACTCCTTCTCATCTTTTTACTTTACATCTCCAGTTTTGCCTCACACAAGGTCTGTTCTTCCTCTGTGGATCCTCTACCTACATGTGTCTACCTGCTAATTGGACAGGCACATGCACACTAGTCTTCCTTACCCCCAAAATTCAATTTGCAATTGGGACCAAAGAGCTCCCTGTTCCCCTCATGACAGTGACACGACAAAAAAGAGTTATTCCACTAATTCCCTTGCTGGTCGGTTTAGGACTTTCTGCCTCCACTATTGCTCTCGGTACTGGAATAGCAGGCATTTCAACCTCTGTCACGACCTTCCATAGCCTCTCTAATGACTTCTCTGCTAGCATCACAGACATATCACAAACTTTATCAGTCCTCCAGGCCCAAGTTGACTCTTTAGCTGCAGTTGTCCTCCAAAACCGCCGAGGCCTTGACTTACTTACTGCTTAAAGAGGAGGACTCTGCATATTCTTAAATGAGGAGTGTTGTTTTTACCTAAATCAATCTGGCCTGGTGTATGACAACATAAAAAAATTCAAGGATAGAGCCCAAAAACTTACCAACCAAGCAAGTAATTTCACTGAACCCCCTTGGTCACTCCCTAATTGGGTGTCCTGGGTCCTCCCAATTCTTAGTCCTTTAATACCCATTTTTCTCCTCCTTTTATTCAGACCTTGTATCTTCTGTTTAGCTTCTCAATTCATCCAAAACCATATCCAGGCCATCACCAATCATTCTATACGACAAATGTTTCTTCTAACATCCCCACAATATCACCCCTTACCACAAGACCTCCCTTCAACTTAATCTCTCCCACTCTAGGTTCCCACGCCGTCCCAATCCTGCTTGAAGCAGCCCTGAGAAACATCGCCCATTCTCTCTCCATACCAACCCCCAAAAATTTTCGCCGCTCCAACGCTTCAATGCTATTTTGTTTTATTTGTCTTATTAATATAAGAAGGCAGGAATGTCAGGCCTCTGAGCCCAGGCCAGGCCATCGCATCCTGTGACTTGCACGTATACATCCAGATGGCCTGAAGTAACTGAAGATCCACAAAAGAAGTAAAAACAGCCTTAACTGATGACATTCCACGACTGTGATTTGTTCCTGCCCCACCCTAACTGATCAATGTACTTTGTAATCTCCCCCACCCTTAAGAAGGGACTTTGTAGTCTCCCCCACCCTTAAGAAGGTTCTTTGTAATTCTCCCCACCCTTGAGAATGTACTTCGTGAGATCCACCCCTGCCCACCAGAGAACAACCCCCTTTGACTGTAATTTTCCATTACCTTCCCAAATCCTATAAAATGGCCCCACCCCTATCTCCCTTCGCTGACTGTCTTTTCGGACTCAGCCCACCTGCACCCAGGTGAAATAAACAGCTTTGTTGCTCACACAAAGCCTGTTTGGTGGTCTCTTCACACGGATGCGTATGAAAGGGCCCAAGATGTTTTCCTTTCACATTTCACCCTTTATTTTTTAAAATCTTCTGGAGAAAGAATTTTAGAAGAAAATGAGTATTTGGACCCAGGTTTCATCTGATCTCTTATGGTTAGGATGGTTTATTCCTAGACAGGTAAGTCCCAAGTTATTAGGAAGGCTCATTTTTAGAAGGTTGTGAAGTCTCATGCCTTATGAAGAGAAAATAGGAGGAAGAAAGGAGAAAAAACAACAAGAAACAAAAGAAAAATCCTAGAAAAGTGATATAGGCCACATTACTTTGAAGTTCACATATCAATATGCAGGTATGAAAGTGGCTTGTGTGTGTAAATAGTTTGCTGTTATATCCTTCTGAAGTTTAAGTTGTCTAGCTTCAGTTCACAGGGATTTACAAAAGTACAGCTTAATTTTCAATTATGTAAAATCAGAAAAAATGGGGGGAAGGAAAAGAAAGAAGAAAAAACATTTTTTATACTTTGTAAATTATATATATAATTTTAGAGACCTGTAGCCAGGATAAATTAGAATTCAGCCCAAACTGTAGAAAGTAATAAAAATTGGAAAACATTAGGCAAGAATAAAGTCTGACAACAGGTATACTATAGTTTTTGAAACAATTTTTCTCTCTCCATTTTTCCATTTTTACTGAAGACAAATCATGGTAGGACTGATTTGCTTTATTATACTTTGCCAGATTATTTATATAAAGTTCCGCAAGATAATAATTTTTCACATAGGCTTTTAAAATTGGCCTTGATGGAACTTTGTTCTGTAGAAGAACTCTCAGATAAGACTTTTTTAAAGCCCAGCCCAGCCATGGATTTGTGCCATCAAATACCTATGAGTTGGAAGGATTTCCTCTCCTCTTGAGGTTCCAAGATAAACCTGGGGCTCCTGGACCTGTCAGAAAGTGACAATCTTTACCTACCACGGGTCAGAAACTCTGTATAGGAATTGTGTAAACTATGTGGCCAGTTTTCCCAAATGATTTATTGGCTCCATAAGTGAAGTTTGATTCCTAAAGGAAAGCACACCAATCCAGTAAAAGCCTTAGTAAAATAACCAGTTTCTCCAACTGTGTCCTGTTACAAATGAAAACAGATTCTTATTGCACTTATGCAAATAACTGTATTGCTGTAAGTTAAGAATACTCACAAATAGTTTCCAAATTCTGAAAAAAATCAGATAAAGAGAAATAAATATGCTCCAAATTTTGTTCATAGGAGTATACTAAATTGTTAAAAAGCTGTCAGTAGCTCAAAAGAAAAGTTTCAAGACCCTGAAAAACAAAACAAAGGATCAGCAATGGTTTACACAAAAAGTCAAAAAGATTAGTTCAGACCATGCAGTTAATTCCTGTTCTGCTTGATATTTATGACCATTTTAGCTCTAATGAGTCCTGAAAGTTTTTCCTCTATTCTGATGTCACAATCTCCAAAGTTATGAGAAACCTGCATTCAAGAGCACCTGTTAGAGTTTTATGGCTGATTATAAAACCACCTTCTAAAGAGGACCAAAACAACACAACTATTGTCCATGGAAGAAAAAGGTCAAAGACACAATTGATAAAGGAAATTTTTTTATGTCTGTGGCAGACAAATATTTTAACACATCAATTATGATTATTACTGATAACGTATATTAAGTCATGTCAGAATTACAGGAGTTTTTCATAATTTTGGAACACATATCAATAACATATTTATACAAATATAGCTCAAAGAAAACCAAACACCATTTTATATTTGACAGTGCTTCCTATATCATTTTTATGTCAAATAAGCCAAATTGTGTCATTTTTGGGGCTTTAGAGAACCTAATATCTCAAAGGATTAATTAGGTCAGAAAAAGACATAATTCATAATTTGATTTTTGAAAGTTTGTCAAATATCAAAGGTTTAAAAGACTCGATATCACAAAATAGGATCACCAGTCATTGTAAAATATGTCATTCATTTAACCAAAGTGATAACTCAAGGATTTCAAAAACAAGTGAGAACCTTCATTCTTTGAGATAGAAGACTAATTTTCCCAACAATATGCCCTAATAAAAACAGCATAAAGTCAATTAAATTTGTTTTTCAAAATATTATAAACAATCTATAAGATTTTAATATTGATCATAAAATATAACTTCCATAAGCCTTTTTTTATAAACTTTATACCTTTATTAAGGAGTTGATTAATGCTTCAAGAAAAACTTATTATTCTGACACAGGGATGCATATGTTGGTCTTGCATCAGTGTCACTTTGACACTAATGATTAATTTATAAAGAAACTAAACTTACTTTATCTTTCAAAATTGGCCCTTACAATCTCATGCACCCACCACTTCCACGATAGTCTCTGGACCTTGAGGAGTTCAATAGCTTTAATTTATTGCCCTGTGTCTCAGGAATGCAGTTTATTTTGATTGGCATCTTCTATGGAGCCTGAAGATGAGGCTTTAATTAATGTCAGTGTTTAAGATTTACCAGGGCTTTGTATCCTTTTTAGACCCAGGAGTCAAAGCCCTGTAACTAAATGCCACAAAGACTTTAAAAGCAAATACAGAGAGATACACGGATGTAATAACATTTATTTTAAAAAAATAAATAAATCTCAGTTTTTTCCTAAGCAAACCAAAATTAATAATGGCATAAGAATTATTTCATAAAATGTAAAATCGGTTAGGCCAGTTACCAAAAGGCAAAAGAAAAAGACTTTCTGCAGTGCACCAAATATTAAATTGGAAGAAAACATTTCCTTTAGACTTTAAGAAAACAAGCTTTTAAAAGGGGAGAGAAAGTCAAAAAAAGGCAAGATGCAATGAAAGTTGAACTTTGGCTAACAGAAATTGAAATATCTCATAATTTATTAAGAATAAATCAACCCCTTAAGAAAATGTCATTGTTCTAACCAATAATTTAGTGTATAAGTGTGTTTTCTTTACATCAAGCCCAATCTCTGGAAAGAGCATTGTAATTTCCTTTAATTATAAACAACTTGATCATTTAGAAGTTTTTTTTTAAATAAATAAATCCCCTTCTTGTGATTTACACAGATCCTTCATGACATATTTGAATTTGTAGTGTGTCCTGAACATCATTTTTTCTTAAACAACCAGTTATTTTATTTTAGGACTAAATTTACCATACAAGATTCCTTCTCTTATGAAATTATTTCTCTTCAAGTTTTCTTACCACACACACACACACAAACTGTTTATTTTTATAACCTTCTTTACATCTCTCTTATTTCCTGGTTCCTTTACCTTGCTTTATACATAACCTTTAAATAAGTTTTCAATTAGACAAAATTTGTTCACCTTTTTTAAAAAGGACATTTTCTTTTTTGAGATGGAGTTTCGCTCCTGTTGCCCAGGCTGGAGTGCACTAGCACGATCTCAGCTCACTGCAACCTCCACCTCCCGGGTTCAAGTGATTCTTCTGCCTCAGCCTCCCAAGTAGTTGGGATTACAGGCGCACACCACCAAACCCAGCTAATTTTTATATTTTTAGTAGAGACAGGGTTTCACCACATTGGCCAGGCTGGTGTTGAACTCCTTACCTCAGGTGATCCACCCGCCTTGGCCTCCCAAAGTGCTGGGATTACAGACATGAGCCACTGCACCCAGGTGAAAAGGACACTTTTTTTTTAAGCAAGAATGTTTTCCTACAATATATTTTTATTGGAAAATATCCAAATGATGAAATATCTATTATTTAATATAAATTTATATTCTAAATTGTGACTTTTGTCTACAAGTATTTATCCAATTACATTTACCTAATTATTTTATTTTAATTGCTTACCTAGATTATTTATGAAAACTGAAATAGGCATCATTTAAAGTTATGGAACCACCATTAATCTAGTAAATTAATTAGAGCTCTTTATATATTTTTAACAGTGAAACATGGTGTACACAACACATAAATACATAGATATATTAGGTATGCCAATAGCAGTACATCTTATAGATTCCTAAGACCTCCTTTTTTTTTTTTTTCCTCTCTTAGACTTGCAGACTCTTGATAACCTGCTTCCTTACTGCAGCAGTTGTCAGCTAAATAGCCCTAAATCTGCATATTAGAGGAAACAACTCAGGTGAAAATCAGATAGAAAAATTTACATTATAAGGTACGAAGAGAAAGTCTGGTGAGCTAGAGGGAAATTAAAACAGATATAATTGCCAATTGAACATAAAATTGTAGAAGTCTATTATAAAGGCCTTTAAATATATATATACACACACATACACATACACACATACAGACACACAAAGATTCTATAGCTTTTAGTTCAGTACTTTAGCCATGAGATAAATACAAATTCACAAGTTTGGAAAAAAATAAAACCTGTTAGATCCAAACAGTGGTTTTTTATCTTAATAGAAAAGTAACAGCAGATTTAAAGTAGGTGGAAAAGAAAATAGAGGAAAAGGGGACCTAGGAACATTACAGTTTGCAGGTCAACCTTAGGGTTCTCTTTCCTTAACGTAAATGTGCAAAAAGACCACATGACTTCCATTTTACTCTGGCAAGTAGAGATGCCACAAAACCCACAGAGTGCTTGAAAGGGGGTCGTTCTCCTTGTTTTCACCTCATTCTTAGATTATTTGTTTCCCACTGTTTTTTTGTTTGTTTGTTTTTTGGGGGGTCTTTTTTGGTTAAAAAAGAGGAACTGAGCTGTGGCACAGGGTTTTTATGCAGTGGATCAATATGTGCTGCTTGTGGGCAGGACTCCACAGAGTGTCAGCACTGAGTCATTTCCGCCCTCTTACGTATCTCAGTTTCTCTCTCCAGAGGTCTATGACTGCTGAGAGGGCTCAAAAGCACTGGGTGATCAGCCTTTATATGCATTTTCTGGATGAACCATATTTAAAATTAATTTTAGGTGGGGATTTCCCTGCAGGACCACTGCATGTTGTGGGGGCTCAACATCCCAGACACTCCCATGAGGCCCCCGGTTACCCAGGGCACATTTTAGCTGGGAGGAGCAAATGTTCTTTCTCTTTGAAGCTGAGAAAACTCAGTTTTTCATTAGCATAAAAAAACAATCAATTCCTCATTCAAATGCACATAGACAAACCAAATTAAGATGAATTTTGGGAGAAGACCCTTTAGAATGCATCTACCAACTAGAATTAAGATCCTTAAACAACAACTTACTGGGAGAGAAAAGAATGAAACACAAAACAAAATAAAAAAAAAACAGCCAAGACCACTTCCTGCAAACTGTGCTCAGCCACTCATAACTTTGTAGCTCTCATTCGCCATTATACATGCCAATGTCAAATCCTCTCACAATGCAAAGTCATCTCTGGTACCCCAAAGCCAAAAAGGTCAGGTCATGTAACACAGAAAAACAGAGATTTAGACTTAAAAAGAATCTGCCCATGACTCTTGAAACTCCACAAAGAAAACAGAATATCCCAAAATGGGGTGAGTGGCACCTTTGTTCTGAATTATTTAAAGGGGTTCAAGTCATTAAAAGCTTCTCTAAATTTTTTGATACCGCAGATGACAAAGGAGCAAGGAAATATAGGATGGAAGAGAAGTAAATGAAAGAACAATTTTTAAGACAGGAAGAAAACACAGAAACCAAAAACATGGTTTTTCCCTTTCTCTTTTTTTTTTTCTTCTGCAGCTATGAGGAATTTTAGCCAAATTACAGAGGCCTTGTTACCCATAATTTGGAATTCTCACTCAGATTTGGCCAAGTCGGGTAGAGTAGGTCAAATCCAATGGGAGAAAGACGAGAACAAACAACAAAGAAAACGCAACAATACTGTCACTGAGTGCTCTAATGGCAAGGAGAAATTAAGATCAGCTGGTTGTTAATCTTAACCTTAGCCAAGACAAAATTCAACTCAGTTACTTACCTAAGGATGGGTCTCAGGCTAAAGGCTGCTCTCTACCATCCTAGAAGCAGGGAAGGAAAAAAAACAAAACAAAACTCATCTTCCCAGTTGGAAATGAACTCAAACTCCATAAAGGAGTTTATTATGGAGTTCCATACCCGCCTTCCTTCATCACAGAAGCAGGAAAAAACTTGCCTTTCTTGTGTTGGAAACAAGTAAAACTCTAAACAAAAGAGGAGTTGTACAGCAAAATAAACTTTAGATCATGTCCAAGTTTTGGGAGATCAGGGATTCTCTGGAGGAGGTGCTCTCAGACCTCAGTAAACTGTCCTATTGGTTTGAGCCATAAAGTTAGCTCATGATGGTAGCAAGCACTGATAGGAGATTTGTTAAAGGTCAGGGGCATCTCCACTCAGAATCCCTTCATGGTTACCAAATGCAAAACCCCCAAAAATTGAAACAGGTCTCAGTTAATTTAGAAAGTTTATTTGCCAAGATTGAGATGCACACCCATGACAAAGCCACAGGAGGTCCTGACAACATGCGCCCAAGGTGGTCAGAGCACAGCTTGATTTTATATATTTTAGGGAGACATAAGACATCAATCAATACATGTAAAATGAACATTGGTTTAGTCTGGAAAGGCAGGACAACTCAAAGCAGGGAGGGGATTCCAGGTCACAGGTAGGTGAGAGACAAATGGTTGCATTCTTTTGAGGTTCTGATGAGCCTTTCAAAAGGAGACAATCATATATGCAGTGATCCCAGTGAGCAGATCGATGGCTTTGAATAGAATGGGACGCAGGTTTGCCCTAAGCAGTTCCCAGCTTAAATTTTCCTTTTAGCTTAGTGATTTTAGGGACCTATATATTTTCCTTTCACACCCAAGGCTGGTTAATTTATAAAGAAAAGAGGTTTAATTGACTCACAGTTCAGCATGACTGCGGAGGCCCCCAGTCATGGCAGAAAGTGAAGGAGGAACAAAGTCATGTCTTACATGGTGGCAGGCAAGAGAGTGTCTGCAGGGGAACTGCCCTTTATAAAACCATCATGTTTCATGAGACTTACAATCACAAGAACATCACGGGAAAAACCCACCCCCATGATTCAATTACCGCCCACCAGTTCCCTCTCACAACATGTGGGAATTATGGTAGTTACAATTCAATATGAAATTTGGGTGGGGACACAGCCAAACCATGTCAAATATATGTAATTTTTTATTAAATCAATATTTGTGTTTTTATTATCAATGATAAATATTTTTTTACAGTTCAGATCCAGAGTGTTATAATTATATTTATTTTAAAGATATTTCTCTTTATTTATTTTTAAAAGATTGTTATGCTTTTTTATTGTACAAAGTTTTGGGGTACATGTGATAATTTAATACATTCATATATTTATAGAGATCAAACTGTAGCAGGACGAGCTGCAGACAAAAGCCCTCAGACACCGAGTTAAAGAAGGAAGGGCTTTATTCGGTCAGGAGCATTGGCAAGACTCACATCTCAAAAACTGAGCTCCCTGAGTGAGCAATTCCTGTCCCTCCTAAGGGCTTACAACTCCAAGGGGGTCTGCATGAGAGGGTCGTGATCGATTGAGCAAGTAGGGGGTACATGACTGGCTGATGCATGCACCAGTAATTAGAACAGAACAGAACAGAACAGAACAGAGATTTTCACAGTGCTTTTCCATATAATGTCTGTAATCTATAGATAACATAACTGATTAGGTCAGGGGTTGATCTTTAACTACCAGGCCCAGGGTGTGGTGCCGGGCTGTCTGCCTGTGGATTTTATTTCTGCCTTTTAGTTTTTATTTCTTCTTTCTTTGGAGGCAGAAATTAGGCATAAGACAATATGAGGGGTGGTCTCCTCCTTTATTCCCCCTCTTTGAGAACTTCACTCATTAGTGGGAGTTCTCACTTTCATTCTCACTACCCATGTCTTCTTGCAAGACAGATTGATAGTGATTCATATAGTACACTTGTGCTAAAGCATTTTGGTGAACTAAGGTAGCAATGAAGCTTTCTATCAATTGAGGAAGTACAGGTAGCAAACAAGGGAGCAGTAAGCAGGTTCCTATTATGATTATGACTCCTATTATAAAAGTTTTAAATCCTCCTAGTGCTGGGAACCATTTTCCAAACATGGGCCCAGGTTCAAATCCATGCCACATTTGCACAGGCACATGTGCCAGTTTTGTCATATCTTTAACTATGTCTTCAACTACTTGCCCTTGATCAACTATGTGTAGACAGCAATTAGTAAGGTTAAATTTCCTACAGACCCCTCCTTCAGCTGCTAGCAAGTAGTTGAGAGCCAATCTATTTTGATAGATAGCATTTCTTGTCTGAGTTTCTTGCTGGGCCAGAATAGTCAAGGCTTTGCCAGTCTTATTAGTGATTATTTCTAAGACAGCTTGTAACTGTATGATTCAGTTGAGCATGTAAATGGGGGTGCAGTATCCCCATGAGCCATCTTGTGCCCAAGTACCAGGCCCATAATATTGTATGATTCTTTCAGAGGGCCATTCATCATCTTTCCAATTTCCTATAGCTATGCTTCTCTTTTCACAGGAAGCACAGACAGGGAAGCCCAGGAGTTCACCTGTCTCTATGGGCAGTAGGAAGAAAGACGGTTTAATAGTACCAATAACACAACTACCTGCCCACTGGTCAGGTAATCTGGTGTAAGCTCTATGCCCACATATCCAGTATAATCCAGTGGGGGCTGTCCAGTCCCAGTGGGACTCTGAGTGCGTCCACATGATTTGCAACTTTGGGAATTTACTAAATGGATTTTTCTTAGTGTGGTTTGAACTCCACTAGGTGGCTGTTTTTGTGGTACTATTATACAGTTTTTGCCCAAGGCAGCTGAATCTTCTCACAGGAAGGGTGAAGTCCTTCCCCACTCTTGCTATACAATATTGTCTAATGATTGAGGCTTTTAGGACCCAGAAGTTATCAGGGTGATTCTTTTGAGCTCGGAATTCATCAGGAACTGGGTCTGTAGGTACTAATTCTCAGGCTTCCCATGGCCATTGATCTCCCATTACAGTTCCTCCACATACATAACATGAGGTGACATTGAGAGACTGAGCTACATGTTCACCTTAAAACAAATTTCTTGTTTTTCCTGGAATTTCTGGTACAGGCACATTCAGTTCATCATAGAAGATTTGAAATACTGGTTCAGGAGAGTGTTTATAAACTTCTCAAACCACAATATTTACTTGAGGATCCATTCCAGCCCCAATGATTCCTAGGGTTACACGCTCCCCTTTTTTTCCAGTGAGGATCAAGGGGGTTGGTTATTACTAGTTCTAAGGGGTTACACTGACCACTGGTACCAGAAGGGCCACTTTTCACTTTCTGAAGGTGGACAGGATCCTTTTCATTTTTTATTGAAGTAGCCTAAATGACAAAAGACCAGTATCCACATTGATTTCCACACAGTCCTAATTCATGACAAATGTACTTATTTTCTGCCATATAACCTCTTTCCTAATTAAGAGAACCACATCCTATTCCTAACTTATTACTATTAATGACAGCACAGGGATCAAACTTCAAGGTGACTTGTTTGGGCACACCTTTTTCTCTTGTTTTGGCTAACACTTTACTCATATTGTTTATGAGCCCCCACCAGTCCTCAGTCCTTAATCTTATTTCAAAAACTGTGGTCATGGGAGGTTCAGATGGGTCATAACACACATCGGGTTGGTCATTTCCTGGGCTACATACCTTGTATAGAATAGCATTATACAAACAAGTTCTTTTTAGAGTCCCGGTACACTTATAATAACCATAAAATAATAGGACTGCAGCAATTTTTTGTCCTACCTCAGTGACTTGATGTATACACTGGGAACAGTCCTCAGTCTGAGGAAGGTCAGTTGACGTCCTTATTGTACAGTTCAAATTTTAAGGAAAACGAGTCCCGTGATGAGTTTTCTCATGCTTTGGCCATGTGTGGACCAGTCAGGTTCCGGGTGTGACCAGAGCAGGGCTTGTCATCTTCAGAGTCACAATGCAGGGGTTGGCAAAGCTGCTCCCGCCCACATACAGCTCACAGTCTACTGATGTTCAAGGATGGTCTTGAAGGTTGGGCCCACTAGAATAAACTGAGTCCAATACCTCTACACAGTTATGTTCAACTGGGCTCTCTGATACCGGGAGCAAGGCGGCAGGGTTTAGGGTGTTGCAAACTTCACACATAGCAAGCTTTGGTACTTGGTTAATCTAGCATTTGTTAACCAATGATGTCCTTCGGTATTCATCAAAGTTACCATAGCATGGGGGGCTTTTATATTTAGGTTTTGCCCAAGGGCTAGTTTATCTGCTTCTTATGCTAACAGGGCCATTGCTGCCAGGGCCCTTAGACATGGGGGCCAGACTTTGGAAACCCCATCTAGTTGTTTTGAGAGATAGGCCACTGGCCTTGGCCAGGGCCCCACAGTCTGGGTTAAAACTCTAACTGCCATTTTTTTTCTTTTTGACACATAGAGTGTAAAGGGTTTTTTCAGGTCAGGTAGTCCCAGGGCTGGGGCCGACATGAGTTTTTCTTTTAACTTATGAAAAGCTTGTTGCTGTTGGTTGTAATAGATGTAGTTTAACCAATTTACATTTTTATTAACTGTCACCAACCAAAATATTGACTCAAATCCTGTAGCTATTTGATTTCAAGCTTTAAATTGATCTGGTATTCCCCGTGGGACTCCAATCGCGTCTAAATAGAAGTGAGAGTCAAAAGACCCATAAGGGGCTTCTCTCACTTTATGATGTCTTATTTTTCCTCCCTCTGGTTGATGAAATGCCAGGGTGAAAGGGATAGCCAATTGGACTAAAGTACAAGTGCCACTCCAGTTATTCAGCAGGGTGCCCAGGAAAGGTCCACCACAATACCACCACACATCCGCTCGGGGATGAACAAGGGCTGACTGATTGATAAGCTCTTGAAAATTCTTAAGCTCACTGCATCCCTTCAGGTCTCCAAGGACCACTAAGTTTCCTCCCTGTCATAAGAGTCATGAAGTGAACTTAGTGTTGAGAGTCAGAGGCTGGATGGCCCTCGGGGGCTGACCTGCAGGGTGTCGGACTTTGGGATATAGCAGAGCTTGGCACGACTTATTACTCCAGGCTGTAGAATCCTGGAAAAGAGCTACCATGCAGCCCATGCCTGGTCGACTGGAGGACCACCTTAGTGGAAAGGGGACAATCTGGGCCTCTGGCCTGCTATGTGCACAAGCATAACAATTGCTTTTGTTTAATGTGTGGATGGAATATTTGATCCATTCCAACCAGGCATTTGCATCTTGGTATCCTGCTTTAATTGCCAAAGTTTGTTTTAAGTCTTTAACTTCTATGATTCTCTAGTAAAATGAATGTATGATTTTAGAAAATCACAAAAACCGGTTGGGGCAGTCCATCCTTGCTCTTAAGTGGTCCACAGAATGTTGGACCAACTACGGCATAAGAGCTCTACATCAGGGAGCAAGACTCCTGGTTGACGCTGGAGTCTTTTTTGAAATTTCCCCGGATTAAATGGTCCTAATTTACTAATGCCCAGTCTGAGGAGAGTCAGGAGGGACAGAGGTACTTTTCTGAAGTAGAGAGCTGTCTTTGACTTGGTAAGTCCCCACAGGGTATAACAAGGCAAGCATTAAATGCAATAGTTTGAGGCAAAATTGACTTGGTTATGTTAATAACTAGAAGGTCAGCAATAGAGTGAGGAAAGAAGAAAGAGTAATAGAATAGATGAAAGAGTTAAATTTTTCTCAGCTTTAGTTTGGTAGCGTTTTCCCCTGGGACTGTGGCCCACGACTCTGGAGGGGGTGGCGCTTTCTTGACTCAGGTGTGATGAGCCCATCCTTTTTTGCTGTATGAACAGCAGTCTCAGTGGTTAGCAGCACAAGGTAGGGTCCATCCTAGGCTGGCTCGAGTTTTCTCTCTTTTCACCCTTTGATGAGAACATGATCTTCAGGCTGGTGTTGGTTTACTAGAAATTCTAGGGGTGGTACATGTGCTTAAAAGACTTTTAGTTTTGAGGGAAAGGAAAGTGGAAGATAAACCAAGTATATAATTTCTAAGAAACTGACCTTTTGTTTTAAATGCGGGGGCATCAGCAGTGGACTTTATAATCCCTGGTGCCTTTCTACTGAGAAATTTCCTTTAGCACCTATTTTTATTAGTTTTTGGACCAAAGAAGCCAAACACCATTTTACATTTAACAATGCTTCCTGTATGATTTTTATACCAGATAAGCTAAATTTCACCTTTATATCAGTGTGTTATTAATGTTAAACTTAGTTTTAATAAAACTTTGTAGACATATTTATTCAATTTTTAATGTTGGAACATAAGGTAAGATTTTTATAGACTCTTTTTAACCTTTTATAATCTTTGTTAAAGAGCAGGTTAGTGCTTTAAGAAAAACCCGTTGTGTTTTTACTTTAATGTCCAGTTCACAGAAAAACTGGATGATACCCCTCTAACTTTAGCTAATATGTTTACACACAGAATTTTCTTTGCAATTAACGTTTTAAAACTTGCTTAAACCTTCAGAACAATAATTTTTTTAACCTTTTAATGTAGGTAAAAATTTATATTCTTATGCCTTCTTATAATCCTTTTACCAAAGTTATATTTTACTTTTCTTATACACCTTGCACATAAACTGTTTTTTTTTTTCAAGTTTTACATTCAGGGAGCCTAGTTACTTTTAAATTATACTACATTTCTTGCATAAATTCTTTTTTTATGACATTTTTCTCTTTCACGACTTTTGCAGACAGTTCTTTGACATGCCTCAACTTTCTGACTTATTACAAACATTTCTTTCTTTAAACAACCAGTTAATTTATTTCAGGAAAAGAATTTACCATATAACACTATTTTTACATAAATTATGCCCCCCCTTTTTTCCCCTTTTTTTCGAAGATGATAACCATTCTTTTCCAAAGCGAACTTCCTTTATGTCTGTGCAATAGACTGTCTAAGGCCACAAGATTAGAAGATACTATAATACATGTTACCATGTTAAGTTTTAGCAAACTTTACTTTTGTTGAAAACCTTGTAAGTTTGGGGTTTTAATTATCCTTTGCTATTAATAAGACCTTGTTTTGTCCAAATTAACTTAGAAGTGGTATAGATGGCTTTTATTTTTTTACTTCAATTACTCGGGAGGAACCATCGATTGTCCAGTCCTGAAGGGAGTTCCTCCTAGGTCTGGTCGGAACTTTGTATGGTAATTAAGATTTAGATGCCCTGTTAGGAAAGCTTCTGGGTTAAGGGAATTTTCAGAGGCTAATGTTAAATCATCTTCTGAACTGGTGAGGTGTGCTCACAATGAGGTTTCCTCTAAAAGTTATTTTTTTTTTACTTTCTTCTGTTAGCAAAGCAGTTGCCGCTACAGACTGAATGCATCTGGGCCATCCACAGGTTACTGGGTTAAGGATTTTTTATAGGAAGGGTGCAGGTTATCAGTGGCCTCAGTGCTTTTGGGATACGTCCTTGTTTACACTGACAACAAAGTGGTATTGGAGTGTTATAGGGTTATGGATAATACTTTCCATTATCAATTATAGGTTTTAAATTTACCCTGGCTTTTAAAGGAATAGGGTACACTTTTTTTTTTAACCACTTGTATATTTCTCTTTTTCTTTCTTTCTTTCTTTGACTTTCTGTCTCTCTCTCTTTTTGACTTTCCTTTTGCCTCTGTCTTTTCCTCTTTTTCTCTCTCTCTTTTTCCTTGACTCCCTCTTTGTCTTTCTGTCTCTTCCTTTCTGTCTCTTCCTCTCTCTCTCTTTGCCTCTTTTCCTCTCTGTCTCTTTCCTCTCTCTCTCTCTCTGCTGGTCTTTCCTTGCCTCTGCCAGCTGCTTATGCTGCTGTTCTCTTAACCACTGTTGGGGCGGGGGTGTGGGTGACTAAAACCAGCTATAACCAAGTGTCTATGTACAGGAACTGGTCTGGGTGCCCTGACGTACAGGTTACCTTGTGCCATACGTTTGAAACAAGGGACCTGTCCAGGCTTCCTTCTGATGGCCAACCCACCTCTAATGCTGGCCAGTCTATTTCACACAAAGTGCTAAGTTTTCCTGGTGTCATAGTAACACCGTAATATCCCTTAAATTATTTCTTGAAATTTTTCAGCATAGTTCCTAGTAGGGTGGGCTTACCCTGTGCCTGACCCATGCTTTCTTGAGACAAAACACCACGCTCACACCACACACACACCACAAAACAAAGAACGGGTAAAAAGGGCACACACACACTTTTTTTTTTTTTTTTTTTTTTTGAGATGGAGTCTTGCCTTGTCACCCAGGCTGGAGTGCAGTGGTGCGATCTCAGCTCACTGCAACCTCTGCCTCCCGGGTTCATGCCATTCTCCTGCCTCAGCCTCCTGAGTAGCTGGGACTACAGGCACCCACCACCATGCCCGGCTAATTTTTTGTATTTTTAGTAGAGATGGTGTTTCACCGTGTTAGCAAGGATGGTCTCGATCTCCTGACCTCATGATCTGCTTGCCTCGGCTTCCCAAAGTGCTGGGATTACAGGCGTGAGCCACCGCGCCTGGCCACACACTTTTATAGTTTACACCAAACCAGAATCAAAACCAAAATCAAAGTATCAAGAAATCCAAGCCAAAACCAAAACCAAAGTATCAAGCAATCCAAGTCAAGTCAAAAACAAAAACCAAAGGCCGGTACAGTCACATCATGGGTGGTCAGGCCATGCTTCCACTCAAATGGAGTGGATAAGTTCCAAAGACCAGTCTTACCAAGTTTCAGATGTCTGGACTCCAAGTGCCAGTTTGTTCCCGGTGTTCAGCCACTGTGTTGATCCTCCGCGGGGGCCGGACACACTGCTCTGGTGAGGTGTTCCACCAAGGCAAATGCCTACCTGGGAGCGCTCTCAGGATCCACGTCACTCAAGCTGGCCAGAATGCCCCACAGGGATGCTCCACAGGGCAGGCCTCAGCCGCCTAAGGGGCTGTCTCGACCGTAGGTTAATCACCTCACTTCCTGGTCAGGGAACCAAGAAATGTAGCAGGACGAGTCGCAGACAAAACCCCTCAGACACCGAGTTAAAGAAGGAAGGGCATTACTCGGCTGGGAGCATCGGCAAGACTCACTTCTCAAATACGGAGCTCCCTGAGTGAGCAATTTCTGTCCCTCTTAAGGGCTTACAACTCTAAGGGGGTCCACGTGAGAGGGTCGTGATCGATTGAGCAAGCAAGAGGTACCTGACTGGGGACTGCATGCACCAATAATTAGAATGAAACAGAACAGGACAGGGATTTTCACAGTGCTTTTCCATACAATGTCTGTAATCTATAGACAACATAACCAATTAGGTCAGGGGTCGATCTTTAACTACCAGGTGCAGGGTATGGCGTCGGACTGTCTGCCTGTGGATTTCATTTCTGCCTTTTAGTTTTTATTTCTTCTTTCTTTGGAGACAGAAATTAGGCATAAGACAATATGAGGGGTGGTCTCTTCCCTTAAAACCAGTGTACTTGGAAAATCCATCACCTTAAATATTCATCCTTTCTTTATGCTAGAAACATTCCAGTTATTCTCTTCTAGCTATTTTGGAATATACAATAGATTACTGTAAATTATTGTGACTCTATTGATCTATCAAACACTAGGTCTTTTTTATTCTATTAAACCATATTTTATACCCATGTTCATTATATTTCTTTATTTTTACATTTCCTTAGAGTTAATAATTACCTTTTTCCTTAATATTCTATGTGCCTATCATTAATTCTTACCTCAGCCCTACTACTAAATTTCAATAACTCTTAATACAATTTAAACACAGAAGTCAATCCCCAATTTTGTTTTTGTTGTTGTTTGAATATTGCTTCTAGAACCATGTGTCTTGTTTCTCTAGACTGGTTGTTCTCTTGGCTTCCTTTGGATTTATTTTACAATTTTCCTTTACGTTTTTTCTGAAAATTTCCTTCCTCTTGCCTCTGCGTTAGATCCATTATTTCCTGAACTGCATGTTTTCCTTTGCCTTGGTTTAATTCCTCATTTATATATTTAGAAGCTTCTGGTATACAGGTTTGCATCTGAGGGTTTTTGGAGTTTTGAAAGGCTGAAAATGCTTTTATTTTATCCTCACTCTTGATTACTAGTCCTATTAGGAGAAAGAAACTACAGATATATAGAATTAATAAATTGGCAAAGATATAAAGGAACTGTATATGGTGCTATGACTGAAGGAGAGTGCATAAAAAGAAGGAACTTAAAAAGGATTTAGACTTCCTTAGGGAAGTGATAGTTCAGGTCAGGGGATAGCATAGAGGTATGTGGGTTTGCGCAGGCTGTTTCCAGTCTGCATTCACTGGGCAAGGAGCAGCTAACCTGTCAGAGTTCAGGTGGGAGCAATGAGTAATAGGTGATCAGCACTGGAGTATGTAAAGAGGTGCAGGAATATGCAAAGGGAGTCAAGGCACCAGTTTTCATGTTGAGAAGGCCACAGAAATGTTATCATCAGGCTGATGCTGCACCATTACAGAGAGACTGTTCTGGGCAGAGCTCCACCAGACGCATACACACACACACACACTCTCTCTCACTCTCTCTCTCTCTCCCCCTCTCATATACACACACACACATCCCTAAGGCCTCCCCTTGCCACAGCAGGAAAAGGCATGAGAGTTTCTTCTTGCAATATTCCTCCACTGCCCTCAACAGGAGAAACTTAACATTGTGTTCACTGAAAAGCAGAAATTCCATTGTTTATCAGGGGAATAAAGAGATCTGAGCACTAATAAACTGATAACTGACATAGCTGAATACAGAACCTGATATTTTAAAACATTCAGATTTTTGGGAGCATTTCTTCACTGTTTTCTAGGTTTCAGTGTTGCTGTTAAAAGTTTGGTGGCATTCTGATTTTCAGCTCTTTATTGTGGGAGGACTTTCCCCCCACTTTAGATTATTAGACCTTTTTTATTTACACTCAAGAAATATTTGCTGAGTATCTAATAAGTGTGTTCTGGGCAAAATTATCCCTCTCCTTTAGTGTTCTGATATTTTATGTGATATTACAGTATCTATTAGTGTGGGTCAGTTTTCATTCACTGTGCTCAGTAATCAATGACCCTTCCAATCTATAAATACAATTTCTTTAATTTTAGGAAATGTCCAGTTATGATTATTTGATATATTTCTCCATTCCTTACTATGTTTGCTTCTTTCTGGAATGTCTGTTACATATATACTGAAACTTCTAGATTGATTCTTTGATTTTCTTATCACTTCTCTCCCATATTCCAATTGACTTTGTTGCTATAACAATATTTTCTAGAATACATCATCAAATGCATTTCATATTCTAATTTTGCTTGCCAAAATTTAAGTTCCATGAAGTTAGGGATTTTAATTAGTTTTGTTTATTCATATATCTCAATTTTTGAGAACAGAATCTATGCCACAGTAAGTGTACAAATACTTGAGGTATAATTGTTGAATGAATATTAAATCTTATATGTTCATTTTTTTCATTTTCTGTTCACAATATTTCTTTTTTAATCTCTGAATTTTCTTTTAATAATATCCTGTCCTTGTTGCTTGAACACACTATTTCCCATTTCTTTGGAATCATTAGTGATATATTTTAAGTTATTTTCTGCCCTCTGCATTGACTGTTTGCTCTAAATCCTTTCTTTTTATGACTTTTTGGTTTCTCTGTGGCACATTTGATGTTTCCTCAAATAACAATGATCTCTGGCTTAAAAAAGCTTATTGTAAGTTCTATGGTCATGAGATGGGCTTGCAGGCAAGTAGAATTCACTCTAAATCAGTTAAGGAGCTTGAGGGAAAAGGAGAAAAATATTGCAGTAGAAAAAGGGACTTTGTTGAGGTTTGCTCTGTAAAACACATCCTCTAATTTAATTTTTACAATTCACATGGCCAGGCTTACTCTTAATAATAATGTGGTCTTTAACTTGATTTCTGCTTGTGTTCTTTGTATCTCAATTCCTAAGCAGGGAAAACTGGTAGAACTGATTTCTAAAAGCATTCTCAGCTTCTGACCCTAATGTCCTGAAATTATTAAAACATTTCCTAACAACATCTAGTAAAATTCAATAAGAACCAGAAGACAGAATGAATGCAGATTTGATAGCTGTGTTACTGAAGGTGAGTGACTAGGCAATCTAAGGGTGATATTTGGAAGATATATAATATGTGTCTGAAGGTCAGACAAAAATTCTGCATTGGGATACTGATTTTCATGCTATAAACATGGATAGTATATCATGTCATTAAAACCAAGTATGGTTTCTGGATTTAGTGCCCGGGAAAATGGGTGAATGTAGGTACCATTAAAAGAGAGAGAAAGTGCAGTTGGAGAAACAGGGTTCTTTCAACAGAGGATGAGTTCAGATTTGCAAAAGATAAACTAGAGGCCTTTTTGGAACATTAAAGTACATATATCTAAAAGGTAGATAGAAATAGGAGAAAAACAATAAACTAGAGACACCCAATTTATTTTGTTAACATAGGTACAAGGGCATTACCTCCTTCAGTAAATCATTATGGGCCTCTTTGAGAAAATTCTCTTTTCCCATTTAACTTATTTATACATCTGTCATTGATGATATCACATGATGTCATTATTTATATATTTTTAAGTTTAGAATTTCTAATGAGAATATAGTTTTTTCTAAAATTGCCACTTTTTTATGTTTCTGAAAAATATTTTCGTTGTCTCATGCAACACTGAATTAAATGAAAGACTTAAAATAAAAGCGGTCTAATTCTCTATAGGTTATTTAATACGTAATTTGTTAAAATAGCATGAGCAATATTTCTTTCTGAAATTTCTAGGAAATTTCCTTATTCCAGTGATTTGAAAACTGTAATTTAATTTTTTTTTACCTTATGGGTTGGCATTTCTATTATTATAAAATGCTAATAACCATAAAATTACCATTACATATTGGTGTCATTTTAGTACCCTGAAGTAAATAACAATGTTGTTTTGCACAGTTCAGGGTATTAAATAGTAGTAACTATAAAACAACACTTAGGACTTCTGTCATCGATTATTCAGTTACTAGTTTCCTATTGTTGCTATAAGGATCTGCCACACACTTACTGACCTAAAATACCTGGAGGTCAGAGCAAGATGGCAGAATAGAAAGTTCCATTGGTTGCCACCCCTACCACCCCCTACAGGGACACCAAGTAAACAGTTATCTACACAGGAAAAAAAAACAAAACAAAACAACCTTCATAAGAACCAAAAATTAGGTGAGCACTCATAGTACCTAGTTTTAACTTCATATTGCTGAAAGAGGCACTGAAGAGATTAGAAAACAGTCCTGAATCACCAAGCCACCCCGCCTCCACCCGCAGCAATAATGGTTTGGTGCAGAGAGCATCTCTGGGTGCTGGGGGAAGGAGAAAACAGCAATTGTGAGGCAGAAAACTCAGTGCTACCCTGTTCGAGCAGAAAACCAGATCAAACTCATCTGATGCCCATCCAGAGAGGGAGCATTTAAATCAGCCCTAGCCAGACAGGAACCACTGATCCCAGCCGTCTGAACTTGAGTGTCTGCAAACCTTGCCACTGAGGGCTATGGCACTCCGTGTCTCCACGTAAACTTAAAAGGCAGTCTAGGCCACAAGGACTACAACTCTTAGGTGAGTCCTAGAGCTGAATTAGGCTCAGGAACAATGGACTGGGGGACATGTCACAGACTGAGACACCATCAGAGGCAGCCAAAGGAGTGCTGGCATCTGCAGTACTGCACAGCTCTGGGCTCCAAAAGAGACCCCTTCCTTCTGCTTGAGAAGTGGAGAGGAAAGAGGAGAGGGAGGACTGTGTCTGCATCTGAACACCAGTCCAGCCACAGCAGGATAGGGCACCAGTCAGACTCGTGAGGTCCCCATTCCAGGCCCTAGATTCTAGATGGCATTTCTAGACACACCCTGTGCCAAAAGGGAACCCACTGCCTTGAAGGAAAAGACACAGTCCTGTCAACATTCATAACCTGCTAACTGAAGAGCCCTTGGGCCCCGAACAACCAGCACTCAGGTACAACATTGAGGGCCTTGTTGAAACTCTGAGACTTGCAGGCTTCAGGTGTGACTCAGCACATAACTAGCTATGGTGGCTAAGGGGTAAAACTTCTGCCTGAGAAAAGCAGAAGAAAAAGAAAAGGAGACTTCGTCTTGCACCTTAGATACCAGCATAGCTACAGGGTAGCAGAGCACCAAGTAGGCTCTTGAGGTCCCAGACTCAAGGCTTGACTCTTTGGTGTCATTTCTGGATCTTCCATGGGCCAGAGCAGAGCCCATTGCCCTGA
This sequence comes from Homo sapiens, assembly GCF_000001405.40. Taxonomy (NCBI): domain Eukaryota; kingdom Metazoa; phylum Chordata; class Mammalia; order Primates; family Hominidae; genus Homo; species Homo sapiens. Next base: position 92,051,349 of record NC_000004.12, read on the forward strand.
AAGATGAGTCCTTGGTCAGGCAGAATTTACAAGCTGACTTAAGAGACCTTGGGCCTTAAGGGAATATTGGAGTTCATCTGGCAGTACTCCTCATGGCCTGGGTTGGTAGTGGTTGTGGGGTGAGGGTCCTCTTCCTTTGGAAAGGGGAGAGAAGAGTGGGAAAGACTGCTTCATGTGGTTTGAGTGCCAGCTCAGCCACAATACAGTAGGACACCAGGTAGACATCTAAGGTTTTGACTCAGTCCCTGACTTCTGGACTCACTGGGGGGCTTGGGGGACCTCTCTGCCCTGAAGGGAAGAACACAGGCCTGACTGGCTTTGCCACCTGCTGATTATAGATTTTCAGGACCTTAAGCAAACATAGGCAATAGCTAGAGAGTGGTTATAACAGGCCTTAGGCAAGACCAAGCACTATGCTAGCTTCAAGTTTGACCCAGTGCAGTCACAGTGGTGGTAACCACAGTGGTTACTCCACCCAGCCTAAGGTGGCTCAGAAGAGAGAGACATACTCTGTATGTTTGGAACAAAGTAAGGGAAGGGAGCAAGAATCTCTGCCTGGTAATCTAGAGAATTCTAGATTTTGTCCAAAACCATCAACGTACCTCTAGGAATCTACAAAAAACCACAGCACTATTATGCTTCTGGTGCCCCCTAAAGTAGATACAGCTTAGATCAAAAGATCCAAGTCCTTTTGGATATCTAAAAAGCCATCCCAAGGAGGATGGCTACAAATAAGCCCAGAGAGTGAAGACTAAAATAAATACCTAGCCCTTCAATGCCCAGACACTAAAGAACATCTACTAGCATCAACAAAATCCAGCATAACATGATCTTATCAAATGAACTAAATATGATACCAGGGACAAATCCTGAGAAACAGAGATATGTGACATTTTAGACAGATAATTCAAAATGGCTCTGTTGAGGAAATTCAAAGAAATTGAAGATAACACAGAGAAGGAATTCCGAATTTTATCAGACAAACTTAACAAAGATATTGAAATAATTGAAAAGAATCAGGTAGAAATTCTGGAGCTAAAAAATGCACTTGGCATACTGAAGAATGCATCAGAGTCCTCTAATAGCAGAGATAATCAAGCAGAAGAGAGAATTAGTGAGCCTGAAGACAGGCTATTTGAAAATTCACTGTCAGAAGAGACAAAAGACATAAGAATAAAAATGAAGCATGCCTACAGGATCTAGAAAATAGCCTCAAAATCACAAATATAATGGTTATTAGCCTTAAAGAGGAGTTAAAGAAAGAGATGGGGTAGAAATTTTATGCAAAGAGGCCAGGTGCGGTGGCTCATGCCTGTAATCCCAGCACTTTGGGAGGCCGAGTGGGCAGATCTGGCGGAATGGGCAGATCAGGAGTTCAAGACCATCCTGGCCAGCATAATGAAACCCCGTCTCTACTAAAAATACAAAAAAAATCCCACCTGGGCATGGTGGTGCATGCCTGTAGTCTCAGCTACTCAGGAGGCTGAGGCAGGAGAGTTGCTTGAACCCAGCAGGTGGAGGTTGCAGTGAGCTGAGATCACACCACTGCACTCCAGCCTGGGCAACAGAGAGAGACTCCATCCAAAAAAAAAAAGAAAAGAAAGAAAGAAAAAGAAACTTTACAGAGAACTTCCTAAACCTAGACAAAGATATTAATATCCAAGTACAAAAAGGTTATAGAACACCAAGCAGATTTAACCCAAAGAAGACTGCCTCAAAGCATTTTCTAATCAAACTTCCAAAGGTGAAGGATAAAGGATCCAAAAATCAGCAAGAGAAAAGAAAAAAAAAAAAAACCATACAATGGAGCTACAATAATATGGCAGCAGACTTCTCAGGGGAATCCTTACAGGCCAGGAGAGAGTGACATGACATATTTAAAGTGCTCATGCGGAAAAAGAAAAATTTTACCCTAGAATAGAAATCTGGTGAAAACGTCCCTCAAACATGAAGGAAAAGTAAAGACTTTCCCAGAAAAACAAGAGCTGAGGAATTTTACCAATACCAGTCTTGTCCCACAGGAAATGTTAAACGAAGTACTTCAATCAGAAAGAAAAGAACATTAATGAGCAATAAATAATCATCTGAAGGAACAAAACTCACTGATAATAGTTAAGTACAGAAAAACGCAGAATATCATACACTGCAACTGTGTGTATACACTGCAACTGTGTGTATAAACCACTATTATCCTAAGTAGAAAGACCAAATGATGAATCTATTAAACCTAATAACTTCAACAATGTTTCAAGACAGTCAGTACAATAACATGTAAATAAAAACAACAAAAAGTTACAAAGTGTGGGGATGAAGTTAAGGCATGGAGTTTTTATTAGTTATCATTTTGTGCATTTGTTTATGCAATAGTGTTAATTTGTTATCAGGTTAATATAATTGGTTACAAGATAGTATTTGGAAATCTCATGGTAACCCAAAATGAAAAAACATATAATAGACACAAAAAAATAAAAAGGAAGAAACTAAATTATAGCACCAGAGAAAATCATCATCACTAGAAGGGAACAGGAAGGAAAGAAAGAAAGAAAGAAAGAAGAGAAGACCACAAAACAACCAGAAAAAAAACTGGGAGAAATCATTACTTATCAATAATAACATTGACCATAAATCGACTAAACTCTCCAAACAAAAGACATAGACTGGCTGAATAGATGTAAAAACAAGACCCATTGATCTGTTGCCCACAAGAAACACATTTCACCTATAAAGACACACATAGACTGAAAATAAAGGGATGGAAAAAGATATTCCATGCCAATGGAAACAAAACAAAACAAAAAGAGCAGGAGTCACTATACTTGTATCAGAAAAAGTAGATGTCAAGAAGAAAACTATAAGAAGAGATGAAAACAAAGAAAGTCGGTATATAATAATAAAAGGGTTAATTCAGCAAGAAGACTTAACAATTAAATGTATATGCACCCAACAATGGAGAACCCAGATATATAAAGGAAATATTATTAGAGCTAAAGAGAGAGATAAGCCCCAGTACAATAATAATTGGAGACTTCAACACACCACTGTCAGGATTGGAAAGATCTTCCAGACAGAAAATAAACAAACATCAGATTTAATCTGCAATATGCACCAAACGGATCCAATAGATATTTACAGAACATTTCATCCAAAAGCTGCAGAATACACATTCTTTTCTTCAGCACATGGATCATTCTCAAGGACAGACCATATGTTAGGTCACAAAACAAGTCTTTAAACATTCAAAAAAAAAAAAAAAAAAATCACATCAAGCGTCTTCTCGGACCAAAATGGAAAGAAACCAAAAAGTAATGAAAAGAGGAATTTTGCAGACTATACACAGAAATTAAACAATATGCTCCTAAATGGCCAGTGGGTTAATGAAGAACTTAAGAAGAAAACTGAAAAATTTTTGAAACAAATAATAATGGAAACACAACATACCAAAGCCTATGGGATACAGCAAACGCAGTACTCAAAGGGAAATTTATAGCTATGAAGTGCCTACATCCAAAAACAGGGAAAACTTCAAATGAACTACCTAATGACACATCTTAAAGAACCAGAAAAGAAAAGAAAAAACCAAATCCAAAATTAGTAGAAGAAAATAAATAATGAAGATCAGAGCAGAAATACATGAAATTGAAATGAGAAAAATACAAAAGATCAATGAAACAAAAGTTGGTTTTTTGAAAAGTTAAATAAAATTGGTAAACCTTTAACCAGACTAATTACAAAAAACGGAGAAAATAAAAATACGTAAAATTAGAAATGTAAAAGGAGACATTACAACTGATACTGCAGAAATGCTAAGGCTCGTTAGTGGCTACCATGAATAACTATATGTTAATAAATTGGAAAATCTAGAAAAAAAAATAGACAAATTCCTAGATACATACAACCTACCAAGATTGAGCCAGGAAGAAATCCAAAACCTGAACAGACCTATCACAAGTAATGAGATGGAAGGCATAATAAAAAGTCTCCTAGGAAAGAAAAGCCCTGGAACCAATGACTTCACTGTTTAATTCTACCAAACACTTAAAGAAAAACTAACACCAACCCTACTCAAACTCTTCCAAAAATAGAGAAGAAAGGAATACTTTAGAACTTATTCTATGAGGACAATATTACCCTGATACCCAAAGCAGACAAAAACACATCAAACAAACAACAGGCCAGTATCTCTGACGAATATTGATGCAAAAATCCTCAATAAAATACTAGTGAACCAAATTCAACAATACATTAAAAAGATCATTCGTCATGACCAAGTGAGATTTATCCCTGGGATGCAAGAATGGTTCTACATATGCAAATCAATCAATGTGATACATCATATCAACAGAATGAATGATGCTAAAAAAGCAATTGATAAAATTCAAGATCCCTTCATAATTATAACCCTCAAAAAACTGGGTATAGAAGGAACATACTTCAACATAACAAAAGCCATATACAACAGACAGACAGCTAGTACCATACTGAATGGGGAAAAACTGAAAGGCTTTCCTCTAAGATCCGGAATGTGATAAGAATGCCCACTGTCACCACTGTTATTCAGTATACTACTGAATGTCCTAGCTAGAACAATCAGACAAGAGAAAAAAATATATGAACTGGGTGCGGTGGCTCATGCCTGTAATCTCAACACTGTAGGAGGCCAAGGTGGACGGGCTGCTTGAGGTCAGGAGTTCAAGACCAGCCTGGCCAACATGATAAAACCCTATCCCTACTAAAAATACAAAAAAAAAAAATAATAATAGAGAGGTGTGGTGGCGGGAACCTATAATCCCAGCTACTCAGGAGGCTGAGGCAGGAGAATCACTTGAACCTGGGAGGTGGAGGCTGCAGTGAGCTGAGATCATGCCGCTGCACTCCAGCCTGAGCAACAGAGCAAGACTCTGTCTCAAAACAGAAAATTAAAAAAACTAAAAGGCATCCACATTGAAAGGAAAAAAGTCAAATTATGGTTGTTTGCCGATAATATGTTATCTTATTTGGAAAAAAAATAAAGACTCCACAAAAAAACTATTAGAACTGGTAAACAAATTCAGTAAAGTTGCAGGATACAAAATCAATATACAAAAGTCAGTGGCATTTCTATATGCCAATAGTGAATAATCTGAAAAAGAAATAAAATGTAAACCCATTCACAATAGCCACAGATAAAATTAAATACCTAGAAATTAACTTAACCAAAGAAGTGAAAGCTCTCCATAATAAAAACTATAAAACACTGATGAAGAACATTGAAAAGAACACTAAAAAAATGAAAAAAATATTTCAAGTTCATGAATTGGAAGAATCAATACTGTTAAAATATCCATACTACCAAAAACAATTTACAGATTCAATGCAATTTATATCAAACTACCAATGATATTATTCCAAGAAATAGAAAAAAAATCCTGAAATTTACATAGAACCACAAAAGACCCTTTATAGCATAAGATATTCTAAACAATAGAAAAAACTAGAGGAATGACATTACTTGACTTCAAATTATACTACAGATCTATACTAACTAAAACAGCATAGCACTGGCATAAAAACAGACACATAGACCAATGGAACAGAATAGAGAATCCAGAAACAATTCTACACACCTACAGTGAACTCATTTTTGACAAAGGTGCCAAGAACATACACTGGGGAAAAGACAGTCTCTTCAATAAATGGTGTTAGGAAAACTAAATAACCATATGCAAAAGAATGAAACTAGACCCCTGTCGCTTGCCATATACAAAATTCAAATGAAAGCAGAGTAAACATTTAAATCTAAAGCCTGAAACTACAAAACTACTGCCAGAAAACTTTAGGGAAAATCTCCAGGACATTGTTCTCAGGAAAGATTTCTTGAGCAATACCCCACAAGCACAGACAACCAAAGCAAACATGGACAAATGAGATGACATCAAGCTAAAAAGCTTCTGCACAGCAAAGGATACAAACAACAAAGTAAAGAGACAACTCACAGAATAGGAGAAAATATTTGAAAACTTCCCATCTGACAAGGGGTTAATAACCAGAATACATAAGAAACTCAAAGGACTCTATGGGAAAAAAAAAAAAAAAAACTAATAATCCAATCCATAAAATGGGCAAAAAATTTGAGTAGACATTTCTCAAAAGAAAACAGGCCTAGGAAAAGGCATACAACATCACTGATCATCAGAGAAATGCAAATCAAAATTACTGTGAGATATTATCTCACCCTAGTTAAAATGCCTTATATCTAAAAGACAAGCGTGACAAATGCTGGCAATGATATGGAGAAAAGGGAACCCTTGTACACTGCTGGTGGGTATGTATATTAGTATAACCACTGTGGAGAACATTTTGGAGCTTGTCAAAAAACTACAAATTGAGCTACCTTTTGTTCAGCAATCTCACTGCTGGATATATACTCAAAAGAAAAGAAATCAGAAAATCTAATAGATATCTGCACCCTATGTTTGTTACAGCACCTTTTACAATAGCTAAGATTTGGAAGCAACCTATATGTCCATCAACAAATAAATCGATAAAGAAAATGTGATACATATACACAACAGAGTACTATTCAGTCACAAAAAAGAATGAGATCTAATCATTTGCAATAACTGGAATGCAACTGGAGATCATTATGTTAAGTGCAAAAAGCCAGGCACAGAAAGATAAACACTGCATATTCTGACTTATTTATGGGATCTAAAAATCAAATCCATTGTACTCACAGACACAGAAAGTAGGATAGTTACCAGTGGCTAAGAAGGGAGTAGGGGTTTTGAAGGGTGATGGGGATGATTAATGGGTACAAAAATAATAGAATAAATAAGACCTACTATTTGATAGCATAATAGGTGTCTATAGTCATTAATAATTGTATATTTTAAAATAAAGAATGTAATTGGATTGTTTGTAACTCAAGGGATAAATGCTTGAGAGGATGAAAAAATGTATTATTCAGATATTCTGGAAGTCAGATATGCAAAAACGAATTTTATGTGGCCAAGACCTTAGTGTCAGAAGGGCTGCATTCTTTTTGGAGGCTCCAGAGAGAAATTTGATTTTCCAGCTCCTAAAATTTCATGACTTCTGATTTCTTCCTACATTACTCCAAACTCTGCGTCCCTTATCCCCTTATCACTCCTTTTTTTTTTTTTTTTTTTTGCACCTCTCCAACATTCTTGCCTCCTTGTTACAAGGACTTTTGTGATTACATATAGCCCACCAGGGGAATCCAGGATAATATTCCACCCTGGTATTCTTAAATTAATCACATCTGCAAAGTCCCTTTTGTAAGGCAATGTAGTCCAACGATAGTGTTTGGATGCATACATATTTGTATTACCATGCATTACTCAGCTTACCTTTTTTTTCTGAGATTGAGGTCTCACTCTGTTGCCCAAGCTGGAGAGAGGTGGTATGATCATAGCTCACTGCAGCCACAAACTTCTGGGCTCAAGCAACCCTTCCATCCAGCCTCCCAAGAAGCTAGAACTACAGGCACTTGCCACCATACCTGGCTAATTTTTAAACATTTTTTAGAAGTGAGGTCTTGCCTCATTGCCCAGGCTAGCCTGAGGAGATCCTCTCACTTCAGCCTCCTAAGTATCTGGGATTGCAGATGCAAGCCACCATGCCTGGTTAGCTTACCAAAAATTTTAAATTGCATTTAAATTAAGTAATTTGAGAAAAAATCTATTTAAGATAAATTATCTCCATACCTTTCTATCTTCTTATCTTTATAATTCTTAGAAGCTGATACTTAAGAGACCTAGACCAGATATGAAACAAAGGATTAATACTGTAATCTTTACTGACCCTCATTCTTAGCACTTTGTACCAACAATCTTGTTTTTTTAAATAAAGTACAAAGGCAGTAGTGAGTCGAGTACCTTTTCTTTAGTTTGTAGTTTTGATAATTATCAATTAGTATTATTCCATTATCTTTTCCTTAAAACTGTACTATAAAGTTATTGTATGTCAGGCTCAGTGTGAGGTGTTGAGGATGCAAATATAAAGATATATTCCTGCACTTAAGACACATGATTAAATGAAGAATGCAGTTCTACAAGCAAAAGTTATGTTGTACTGTAACTAATACTGTAGGCATGAAGAAGATCAATTGTCAGCCAATTAGTCGTGTTTTGGCTTCTTTTCATTTTGAATATTTCTTTTTAGTTAGCTATATATTCTTCTTTGATATTAACATTAGTTTAAATGTTTTATATAGCATATCTTCTTTATGTGAAAATAATATGTACAAACTAATAGGAACTATTGATTTACCCTAGAATAAAACTTATCTCTACCTCTTATTTAAATACTCAGTAGATCTATGTTTGAGTTATTGCAACCAACTTCCATAGTGTGTCATCAGTACTACCCTTGAGATAACAGTGGCTCATAGAGTCAAATATCTAGGACATATTAAGAAAGTAGGGGAACTCCTACAGGGAAAGTTAACAGCTTATGTGTACCTAACTCTCACAATCAACCCAGATGATTGTTGTGTTCCAACCAACTGTACATTTGGCTGAACTGCTGAACACCTGTCCTAGTTTCAGTCACCCCTGCTGAGTGTGCCCATGCTTGAATCACTTCACAAATTAATTATTGCAATCCCTTAATGTTTAGTATCTAAAAACAAGCTTTAAGAACATTGCAAATTTATGCATATTCAAATGTTATAGTGCAACAACCAAAATATGGAAAACAAATGCACTGGAAAACTAAACTTTCATTTATAATAAAATAAACCAGAAAGCAGCATCTTATATGATAATTATCATTTTTTTTCAGATAATTATCAGATTATTTGACTGCAATCAGGAGAAACTCATTCTACCCAAGCCAAACAAAATGGATACTATAGAAAGGATATTTGAAACACAAAATCCACTGGATACTAGAAAATCAAACCCAAAATTATAAAAACTAAGATATCTATAAGGTCCAGAAAACAGAAAAAAAATAACACTGTCCTAGAGGGATGATTATGATCAGTTATATCTTTGTGATAACTGAAAATCCAACGATTTACCATTTCATTGTCATTCTGCTCACTATCCAATTTTCAGAAGTTACAACATCTAGCATAGAAAATGTGCCATTGAAATAGGAAAAGTTCTCTTATCCCCCTTGTAGGGTGTTCAATGGGAGTGTGGCTCACTTCTTTGGTGCCCCACAGCTCAAACCCCTAGGGGGAGCATGCAGAAAGGCAGGTCACGGGGAGCCTGAGGAGACAAAGGCAGTGTCTAGTGTTGAGTGTTTACAGGCCCTAAAGCCCCAGTGGGTATGTGTTACAGTTAATCAGCTCAATTAGACCCTCTGCCTTATCACAAGGACAGAGGGCTTTCTGTATCCTGAGCTCTTGCTTTAGTGTACCAGAAAAATTGGAATCACACATGGACTGGGAGGATGGGTGCAAGGTTTTTTATGGAGTAGTGAAAGTGGCTCTCAGAAGATGTATAGGGAGGCAGAAAGAGGATGCAGTGAGAAGGTGGTTTTCCCTTGGAGTTAGGCCGCTCAGCAGCCAGGTTCTCCCCGACCACCCTCAGCTAAATGTCCCTTAGTGTCCACGTGATTCCACCATCAATGGCCTGCCTGTGTCTGTCAGTGTGTTCTTCTACCAGTGTGTTCCTCTTGATGTCCAGCCACCTGTGTCTGTGCCCACTAAGGTCTCAGGGTTTTTATAGGCACAGGATGCAGTAGTGGTGGGTAAGAGTAGTCTTGGAAAATTCAACATTTGGGTGCAAAAACAGGAGTGCCTTTCCTCACTTAGGTCCATGGGCACAAGCCCAAGGGTGGAGCCCTCACCAGGGACCCCACCTTTCTCTACCCAGCAGTTTCCTGCCCCGCTCCCGTATCAGCATTGGTTAGTGACAATAGAGGGAAGAAGAAATTTTTCTAAATGAAACTGGGTGTGGTATGTAAGTAGATTTTAGACATTGAAAAAATATAAAATATTCACTACATAAAATGTGTACTCCTATTTTTAATATTGCACTCTGCTTAGACAAAGGAAGATTATATTTGTCTTTGTGAGTAAGCAATGCTTAATTACTTATGTAGTGTTAATGTTTTAAGATAGTCTAGTAAGACTTCCAGTTTAAGTATAAAGAAGTAGCTAAAAAAAGGAAAGCTTCCGTTCCTATATTAGAAAAAAGCTGAACATGCAGCAAATTAATGACTTTTTGTGAAACTATCAAATAATAGATATTATAAGACAAATGGCCTTCCCAAAGTAAGAGAGACACCTTCAGGGAGAGACAGGAGCTAAGCATTTGCTATCTGAGGAACAAAATCTCTTGGTACCTGTGATGGTTAATATTGAGTGTCAATTTGATGGGATTGAAGGATGCAAAGTATTGTTCCTGGGTGTGTCTGTTAGGGTGTTGCCAAAGGAGATTAACATTTGAGTCAGTGGATTGGGAAAGGCAGACTCATCCTCAATCTGGGCACAAGCTAATCAGCTGCCAATGCAGCCAGAATTAAAGCAGGCAGAAGAACATGGAAAGACTAGACTGGTTTAGTCTTCTGGCTTACATCTTTCTCCCATGCTGGATGCTTCCTGCCCTCAAACGTCAGACTCCAAGTTCTTCAGCTTTGGCACTTGGACTGGCTTCCTTGCTCCTCAACTTGCAGACAGCCTATTGTGGGACCTTACCTTGTGATTGTGTGAGTCAATACTCCTTAATAAACTCTCCTTTATATATACATCTATCCTATTTTTTTTCCGTCTAGAGAACCCTAATACAATATCATATCATCTTAAAGTGACAATAAACTAAAAATTTTGATAAATTTCAGAGGATAAGTGTGGGCTGGTATGAGAATGAGAATCTCTTGGAGGATGCAATCATAGGGTTAGTTCCCACTCTTTTAGAGGCTTTTGCTCTGAGAAACTCCAGGCTGTCACAAAGAGAATGAAGAAGGTTGCTGATAAAGGTCACCTATTGAGAATGGCCATCCAGATCCATCTCCCTCACTAATCTGTGGAGGGAAGAGAACAACCTGAGGATACATGTCAAGTCCCATCTCAGTTGGAAGAAGGGAACTTGAGCAAACTCCAGTTACCCTGTCTGTATTGGTTTGCTATGGTTGCCATAAAATATATCACAGACTGGGTGGTTATAACAATATAAATTTATTTTCTAACAGGTCTGAAAACTAAAAGTTCAAGATCAGGCCGTCTACAGGTTTTGTTTCTTCTGCAGCCTCTTCCCTTGGCTTGTAGATGGCTGCCTTCTTGCTGTGTCCTCACATGGACTTTTCTCTGTGTGTTTACAGTCTTGATGGTGCCTCTTTGGGTGTCCTAATATTCTTTTCTTATAGACACCAGTCAGACTGAATTAGGGCCCACCCTAACACTTCATTTTAACCTAAACATGTCTTTAAAGGCTCTGGTTTCAAATACAGTCACTTGCAGAGATACTAGGGCTTAAGGTGTCAACATTTGAATTGTGTGTGATACGATTCAGCTACAACACTATATCACCTAAAAGTAAAAGGCACAAGTATTAGTTTGCAAAGAAGGACACCTCAAACACATAGACTGAGAACACTGGAAGACGTCATCAGAGCTGAGAACAAAATAGGGGAAGGATTAAAAAAGCTATACCTATGAAGGTAGAACAGAAACATTTGTGAATGTCATACTAAGATACAGGCTCACTGTGTACATTAGTGACTGAGACTTACTCATAACCTTATCATATGCTCCCCTCCCCTACATCTACTACCACATTAATAGGCCTCTAGCAATAATGCCAAGAGTTTTTAGCTAGGTGATCTGTAAAACGCACACTTTTTCTGTGGAGTGGTAGAAAGGGAAGATTCAGAATCAGGAGTAGAGAGACAAATAAGGTCACTATATGAGTCTGGGGTCTCTAGTATGCATAGCAACACCATACTTTAAAAATAGCGCAGCCTCTGACTAGGTTAGTATAAATCCCCACTTTAGAGGCCTATTCCTCAGTATTCACTGACCCATACAACATACCCAGCTTTCAACAACAACAACAACAAAATTGCAAAGAATGACAAAAAGTAAAGAAAAAATAGAAAAAATAAAGGAATTGTTACCATCAGACTATGACACAAATATTGATATTATCACACAGATTTTAAAATAACTATGATTAATGTGTTGAAGTTCAATGGAAAATATAGTAAAACATGCTAGATGAGATAGGTAATTTTAGCACAAAGATGGAATCTATAAGAAATAATCAGAAATATTAGAAATCGAAAATGCTGTAACAGGCATAAAAATGCTCAGTGAGCTCATCAGTAGACTCAAACAGACAAGGAAAGAGTAAGTAAACTTGAAAATAGGGCTATAGAAATTAGACAAATTGAGATGTAAAGCAAAAAATTGTTTTAAAAAAGCAAAGCATATATTCTGCAATATAACCTCCAATGATGCAGCATATATAGTTGAAAACCAAATGGAAAAGAAAGTGAGAACACAGAAATCGTACTTGAAGAAATAGTGGCTTTAAAATTTCCAAAATAAGTAACAGACAGCAACCTAGAACTTCAAGCTCAGAGAACATCAAAGAAAATAAATACCAAAAAAACAAGCAAATGACCTAGGCATATTATTTCCAAACTGCAAAAATAAATAAACAAATAAATAAATAAATAAAAGACAAAATCTTGAAGGCGATTGAAGGGTGGACTGGGGGATAGTGGGGGCACTGTACCAACAAGGGAAAAATATAAGAATTATGGCAGACTTCTCATTAGAAACCAGGCAAACAAGAAGAAAATGCAGTAAGGTCTTCAAAGTTAAAAAAAAAAAAAAAAAAAAAAAGAAGTGTTCAGTTTAGACATCTATATCCAGAAAAATTATCTTCAAAGGTGAAAGATAAATAAATACTTTCTTAGGCAAAGAAAATCTGATTTCATTGACAACAGACCTATCCTCCAAGATAGTTTATAAGAAGATGTTCAGACTGTTATCAGCAAGATGGCAGAATAGGAAGTTCCTAGCTAGTCTAGTCCAACACAAACAATAATCTAACAGTCACCGATGGAAAAAAGTACCTTTCTGGGAGCTTTCAGATCCAGGAAGGATATTATAAAATCTCAGTGAAGCAAAATTCCAGGGAGAGCTGCTTTAAGAAGGCAGGCCCAACCTTCATGGTAGGCTCACCAAACATGGGGCCAGCTGTAGACCAAGAACAGCCCATCCCTCTGTGGACTTTGCTTGAGCCCTACTTGGCTGCAGTCCTGCAGCTAGCCCCGTCGATGAAGGAAACCAGGAGAAGTCATGCTTGTCTATGCCCCAGTAACAGGTCCACTAGTAATGGACTTGACCATGGATTCTAAAGCAGCCCTGTGATATGGCTCAAGGCCTACTCTGCTGGTCCAGAGTGAATCCTTCCTTCACAGGTATCTGGTAGGAAACACACTGTTTACAAGCCTGACAACTGGTCCTGACTGCAAATACGGAAGTGATACTGTAACCCGGCTCCAGCCTTGCTCTCCTCCCACCCAGGGATCCAGCAATGCCTCTACAAGTCCCTGGGAGCAATCTTGTTGACCTCAGTCCTAGTTGTAAACCCCAAAGTCAGTCCCAGCTCTGGAGCTTGAAGCAGCACTGATAATACTAGCCCCATTTGGCTGTGATCTGGGGTAGCACTAACCCTCCACACAAGGAAATTGACAGGCAATATGCTCATCTGAGCCCCTGGTATAGATCCACTGACCAGTTTCTGACTACAGACTCTAAAATAGCCTTGTAACGTTATTGCTGGTCTAGTCAGTCTTGCCAACTCAGGAACCGGATAGGTGCCACACTTGTTCTCACACCTGGTAACAGGCTCACTACCTGTGGACTCAACTGCAGACACAAAAGAGACCCAGTCACATAGTTCCAGCCCTACTGAATAGTGGTTCCAAACGCAGTTCAATTCAATTGAATCAGGAAAATAATTCATTATCCAAATGAGAAACTCAACAAAGAGAGATATGCCATTAAAATAAAAACAACAAAACAGAAAACTTGGAGTTGAATAACTAAATGAATAAAATAGATATACAATTGAGAGATTCAAACTCAGATTAGATCAATCAGAAGAATACATTTCTCAACTTGAAGACAAGTCTTTTAAAATAACCCACTCAGAGGAAATAAAAAATAAAAAAAATGTATTAGTCAATTCTCACACTGCTATAAAGAATACCTGAGACTGGGTAATTTATAAAGGAAACGGGTTTGATTGACTCACAGTTCCACATGGCATGGAAGCCTCAGGAAACTTACAATCATGGCAGAAGATGAAGGAGAAGCAAGTACCTTCTTCACAAGGTGGCAGGAGAGAAAGTGAAGGGAGAAAGAGCTCCTTCTAAAACCATCAGATCTCATGAGAACTCACTCATGAGAACTCACTCACTGTCACAAGAAAAGCATGGGGGATACCACCGCCATGATCCAATCACCACCCAGCAGGTTCCTCCCCTGACATGTGGGGATTACAACTTGGATTACAATTTGAGATGATATTTGGGTGGGGACACAGCCAAACCATATCATTATTTCTCATTCATTTGTGAAAAATAGCTTTTCTGGATGCAGTATTATTGACTGCGGTTTTTTTCTCTCAGCACTTTGAATAAATCATCCCAGTCTTTCCTGGCCTGCAAGAATTCTGTTGAGCAATCTGCTAATAGTTTTATAGGGATTCCTTTATATACATGACCTAATGCTTTTCTCTTGCAGCTTTTAGAATTCTGTTTGTTTTTGACTTTTGGCCATTTGATTATAATGTGCCTCAGAGAGGATCACTTTGGGTAAAATTTCACTGGGAACATTTGAGCCTCCTGAATTTGGAAGAATATCTCTTCCAATGCTTGGAAAGTTTTCAGCTATTATTTTGTTAAATAGATGTTTTGTGCCTTTCTTAATCTTATTTTCTTTCAGCATTTCTATAATACAAATATTTGTTTACTTAATGTTGTACCATAAGTTCTGCAGCCTTTTGTATTCATTTTTTCAAATTTTTTTCCTCTGAATGAGTTATTTTAAAAGACTTGTCTTCAAGTTCAGAAATTTATTCTTCTGATTGATCTAATCTGAGTTTGAATCTCTCAATTGTATATCTATTTTATTCATTGAGTTATTCAACTCCAAGATTTCTGTTTTGTTGTTGTTTTATTTTTAATAGCATATCTTTGTTGAATTTCTCATTTGGATAATGAATTATTTTCCTGATTCAATTAAATTGAACTGCCTTTGGAACCACTATTCAGCAGGGCTGGAACTATGTGACTGAGTCTCTTTTGTATCTGCAGTTGAGCCCACAGACAGTGAGCCTGCTACCAGGTGTGAGAACAAGCAGGCACCTATCCAGTTCCTGAGTTGGCAAGACTGACTAGACCAGCACTAAAGTTACAAGGCTGTTTCAGAGTCTGTAGTCAGATCACTCTTGCTATGCTTTAGCAAAGAGACTGGAGGCATTGTGCCCCTGCCCTAGAGAGGGCAGAAAATAGAGGCTAGAAAAATAAGAAATGATCAATAAAATTCAGAGCCAGTTTTTTAAAAGATAAAATTAACAAAACTTTAGAATAACTAAGAGAAAAAGAGAAACAAATAAAATCCGAAATAAAAGAAAAGATATAACTGATACCACAGTGATATAAAGGATCCCCTTCAGTGATCTTATGAATGGATAACTTCAAATAAGTGGATAAATTCCTAGAAACATACAACCTAACAACACCAAATCATGAAGAAATAGAAAGACTGAACATAGCAATAATGAGTAAGGATATTAAATCAGTAATCAAAAATCTCCCAAAAACAACAATAACAAAAACAGAACTACATGGCTTCATTGGGTAATTTTATGAAACAATTAAAGTTGAATTAATACCAATTCCAATAATTCCAAAATCTCCACCAAAAAAACAATAAATAAATAAATAAAGAGAAGGGAATACTTCAAAAGTCAGTTTACAAGGCCAGCATTACCTTGACAGAAAAACTATAGAAAGATACTACAAGAAAAAAAAACTCTTGGTCCTGATAAATATAGATGCAATACTGCACAACAAAAATACAAGCAGACTGAGTTCAACAACATTATCCCTTATACGTTATATATTGTGATCAATTGGGGATCATTCCAGGGATGCAAAAATGATTCTGCATACACAAATCAATCAATGTGACACATCAATTTAACATAATTAAGGAAAAAAATGTTTGTCTCAATAGATGCATAAAAAAAATTTAACAGAATACAACATTCTTTCATCTCTCACCAAATTAGGTACAAAAGGAATGTACCTCAACACAATATACACCATATATGACAAGCCAACAGCTAACATTAGACTTAAAGATGAAAAGATTAATGCTTTACTTCTAACATCGGGAACACAAGAATGTCCCCACTGGCCCCTTTAATCAATATAGTACTGGAAGTTCTAATCAGAGCAATTAGAAAAGGAATAGAAATAAAATACATCCAAATTGGGGGAAAAAAGTAATATTGTTCCTGCAGAAAACATCATCTTATATATAGAAAAAAAACCCAAGACTATGAAATAAACTGATAGAATTAATAAACCAATAGATAAATATAGTAAAGTTATAGGATACTAAATGAACATATTCATTAAGTTAAATTTTTATCCCCTATTAACAAACACTTAAAAAAATAGAGAACAATCCCATTTACAATAACGTCAAAAGGAATTGAGTACTTAGGAATAAATTTAACCAGGAATATAAATTATTTGTACCATGATAACTATTAAATGATGAAAGAAATTGCAGAAGACCCAAATAAGTGGAAAGCTATCCTGTGTTTCTGGATCAGAAGGGCTAATATTGTTAAAACGTTCATGCTATCCAGAACAGTCTGCAGATTCAATTCTATTCCTATCAAAATTCCAATAATATTTTTCAAAGAAATAGAAAAAAAATACTAAAATTCACATGAAACCAGAAAGGGTGCTGTAGCCACAGCAATCTTTAGTGAAAAGAACAAAACTGAAAATATCACACTACCTGGCTTCAAATACACTACAACGCTACTGTAATCAAAACAGAATGGTACTGTCAGAAAAACAGACAGAGTCCTGTGGAACATAATAGAGAACCCAGGAGTGCACTTATTGTCCTTTGACCTTTGTCAAATGTGCTGAGAAAACAAGATGGAGAAAGGACAGTCTCTTTAACAAAAGGTTTTGAAACAACTGGATAGCCACTGGCAGAAGAATAACATTGTACTCTTATTTCACACCATATAAAATATCAACTTAAAAGTGAATTTAAAAAATTAAATATAAACTTGAAACTGTAAAACTATTAGAAGAATAAATAGCAGAAAGATCCTTGACACTGGTGTGGTCAATGATGTTTTGGAAATGGCTCCAAAAGTATAGGCAACAAAAACAAAATAGACAAATTGGATTCCTCCAAACTAAAAAGCTTATGCACAGCAAAGGAAACAATCAGTAACCTATGGAATAAGAAAAAAAATTACAAACCATACATCTGACTAGGGGTGGATCCTTCATAAATAGTTTAGCAAGAAAATAAATAACCTTATTTTTAAATAAACAAAAGAGATGAATAAACATTTGTGAGAAGGAAGCACATCCATGACCAAAAGTATATGAAAAATTGCTCAGCATCACTAATTATCAGGAAAACACAAATTCAAACCATAATGGCTAATATGGTTTGTATCTATGTCCCCAGCCAAATCTCATGTTCAATTGCAATCTTCAGTGTTGGAGGTGGGGCCTGGTCGAAGGTGATTGGATCATAGGGGTGGATCCTTAATGAATAGTTTAGCATCATCCTTTTGGTGCTGTTCTCATTATAGTGATCTCAGCAGATCTAGTGGTTTAAAAGTATATAGCATACCTCCCACCCCCAATTCTCTGTTGCTCCTGCTCCAGACATGTAAGATACACCTGCTTTCCCTTCATTTTCTGCCCTGATTGTAACTTTCCTGAGGCCACCCAAGAAGCCAAGCAGATGCCAGAATCATGTTTCCTACACAATCTGAAGAAACCATGAGCTGATGAAATCTCTTTTCTTTATAAATTATCCAGTCTCAGACATTTCTTTATAGAAGTGTGAGAAAAAACTAATACAGAAAATTTGCACAAGAATTGGGGTATTGCTATAAAGATACCTGAAAATGTGGATGCAGCTTTGGAACTGGGTGAAGGACAGAGGTAACATTTTTGAGGGCTCAGAAAAAGACAGGAAGATGAGAGAAAGTATGGAACTTCCTAGAGACTTGTTGAATTGTTGTGACCAAAATGCTGAGAGTGATGTGGACAATGAAGTAGAAGCTGATGAGATCTCAGAAAAAAAAAAACAAGGAATTTATTGGGAACTAGAGCAAAGGTCACTTTTGTTGTACATCAGCAAACAACCTGGCAGCATTGTGCTCCTGCTCTAGGGAACATGAAACTTCCAACTTCAGAGTAATGATTTAGGGTAACTGGTGTAAGAAATTTCTAAGCAGCAAAATGTTCAAGATGTTGCCTGTTTCTAACAACCTATGCTCATAGTGTGAGCAAAGAAATGACATAAAACAGGAACTTAATTTAAAGGGAAACCAGAGTGTTAAAGTTTGAAAAACTTGCAGTCCAGTTATGTGGTAAAATAGAAAAGTCCATTTTCAGGGGAGAAATTCAAGCAGGCTGCAAAAATTTGCATAAGTTAAAAGGAGCCAACTGGGGAAATGGCCTTGAAAACATTTTAGAGACCTTCACGGCACCCCCTACCATGACAGGCTTGGAGGCCTGGGAAGGAAGAATGGTGTTTTGAAACAGGCCCTGGGTCCTGCTGCCCTGTGCAGCCTTGGGACACTGCTCCTGGTATCCCAGCTGCTCCAGCTCCAGCCATGTTTCAATGGGACCCTGGTGCAGGTTGTGCTGCTGCTTCAGATGGTGCAAATCATAAGCCTTGGTGGCTTTTCCTTGGTGTGAAGCCTGCAGTTCACAGAGTACAAGTGTTCAGGCTTGGGGGCCTCCATCTAGATTTCAGAGGAGGTATGGAAAAATCTGGATGTCCAGGCAGAAGCCTGCTATAGGGGGAGAGCCCTCAAGGAGAACCACTACCAGGGTGATGTGGAGGGGAAATGTGGGGTTGGAGCCACCACACAAAGTCTCCACTTGGACACTGCCTAGAGGAGCTGTGAGAAGAGGACCATCATTCTCCAGACTCCAGAATAATAGAACCACTAGCAGCTTCTGCCTTGTATTTCCTGAGACTGGGTAATTTATAAAGAAAAACGTTGAATTGACTCACAGTTTCACATGGCTGGGGAGGCCTCAAGAAACATACAATCATGGCAGAAGGCACCTCTTCTCAGGGTGGCCGGAAAGAAAATGAGCGCAACTAGGGGAAATGCCAGACACTTATAAAACCATCAGACCTCATGGGACTCACTCACTATTATGGGAACAGCATGGAGGAAACTGCTTCCATGATCCAATTACCTCCACCTGGTCCCACCCTTGACATGTAGGGATAATGAGGATTAAAAGTCAAGAGGAGATTTGGGTGGGGACACAGCCAGACCATGTCCTTCCACTCCTGGCTCCTCCAAAATCTCATGTCCTCACATTTCAAAACACAATCATGTCTTTCCAACAGTCCCCCAAGACTTAGCTCATTCTAGTATTAACCCAAATTTCAAGTCCAAAGTTTCATCTGAGATAAGACAAGTCCCTTCTGCCTATAATCCTGCAAAATCAAAAGCAAGTTAAGTACTTCCTAAGTACAGTGGGGTTACACACATTGGGTAAATACACCACTCCAAATTGGAGAAATTAGCCCAAACAATGGGGCTATAGGCCCAATGCATGTCCAAAATTCAATAGGGCAGACATTAAACCTTAAAGCTCTAAAATGATCTTTGACTCCATGTCTCACATCAGGTCATGCTGATACAAGAGGTGGGTTCCCACAGCCTTGGACAGCTTTGCTGAAGTGGCTTTGCAGGGTAACTCCCCCATCCTGGCTTCTTTCACAGGCTGGCATTGAGTTTCTGTGGCTTTTCCAGATGCACTGTGCAAGCTGTTGGTGGATCTAACGTTCTGGAGTCTGGAGCATGGTGGCCCTCTTCTGCACTAGCTCCACGAGGCAGTGCCCCAGTGGGGACTCTTTGTGGGGGCACATCCCCACATTTCCCTTCTGAACTGCCCTAGCAGAACTTCTCCATGAGGGCTCTGCCCCTGCGGAAGACTTCTGCCTGGATATCCAGGCATTTTCATATATCCTCTGAAATCTAAGCAGAGGCTCCCAAACTTCAATTCTTGACATCTGTGCACCCACAGGCCCAACACCATGTGAAAGCCACCAAGACTAGGAGCATGCACCCTCTGAAGCAATGGCCTGAGTTGTACATTGGCTCCATTAGCCACAGCTAGAAGGCAGGGCACCAATTCCCAAGACCGCACAAAGTGGCAAGGCTCTGGGACCAGCCCACAAAACCATTTTTTCCTCCTAGGTCTCCAGGCCTGTGATGGAGTGGCTGCCCTGAAGTTTTCTGACATGCCCTGGAGACATTTTTCCCACTGTCTTGGTGATTAACATTCCACTCCTTGTTACTTATGCACATTTCTATGGCAGGAATAAATTTCTGCCCAGGAAATGGGGTTTTATTTTCTATTGCATTGTGAAGCTGCAAATTTTCCAAAGTTTTATGCCCTGCTTTTTTTGATGCTTTGCCTCTTAGAAATTTCTTCTACCAGATATTCTAAATTATCTCTCTTGGGTTCAAAGTTCCACAAATCTCTAGGGCAGGGGCAAAATGCTTCCAGTCCCTTTGCTAAAGCATAACGAGAGTCACCTTTGCACCAGTTCCCAAGAAGTTCCTTATCTCTATCTGAGACCACCTCAGCCTGGACTTTACTGTCCATATCACTATCAGCATTTTGGTCAAAATCATTCAACAAGTCTCTAGGATGTTCCAAACATTCCCACATCTTTCTGTTTTCTCCTGAGTCCTCCGAACTGTTCCAACCTCTGACTGTTACCCAGTTCCAAAGTCACATCCACATTTTTGGGTATCTTTACAGCAACACCCCACTACCTTGGTACCAATTTATTGTATTTGGCTGTTCTCACACTGCTTGAAGAAATACCCAAGACTGGGTAATTTATAACAAAAAGAGATTTAATTGACTCACAGGTCCATGAAGCTGGGGAGGCCTCAGGAAACTTACAATCATGAAGGAAGGCACCTCTTCACAGGGCAGCAGGAGAGAGAATGAGTGCAAACAGTGTAAATGCCAGATACTTATAAAATGATCAGATCTCATGAGACTCACTCAATATCATGAGAACAGCATGGGGCAAAATGCCTCCATTATCTGATTACCTCTACCTGGTCCTACCCTTGACATGTGGGGATTATGGAGATTATAATTCAAGGTGAGATTTTGGATGGGGACACATCCAAACCATACCACACCCACAGACCGGAAGAGCCATAGACACACAACACTCATCCAAGGAGCAGATGCAGACACTGTACCCTGCAAAGCCACAGCGACAGAGCTTCCCAAGGCCTTGGGAGCCAACCCTTTGCAACAGTGTGTCCTGGATGGGAGGCATGGAGTCAAAGTATATTATTTCAGAGCTTTAATGTTTAATGGCTGCCCTTCTGGGTTCCAGACTCGCATGGGGCCTGTCGTCCCTTTCTTTTGTCCAATTTCTGGGTTTTTGTTTGTTTGTTTGTTTGTTTTTTGAATGACAGTATTTACCCAATGCCTATACCTCCATTGTATTTTGGAAGTAGCTAACTTGTTTTTTTGATTTTACAGGCTCACAGGCAGAAGGGACTACCCTTTCATCAGATAAAATTTTGGACTTTGGACTTTTGAGTTAATGCTGGGATGAGTAAAGATTCTGGGGACTGCTGTGAAAGGATAATTTTATGTTGTAATGTGAGGAAATGAGATTTGGAAGTAGCCAGGTGCAGAATGTTATGGTTTAAATCTATGTCCACACTCAAGTGTCATGTTCAATTCTAATCTTCATCATTGGTGGTGGTGCCTGGTGGGAGATGATTGGATGACATGGGTGGATGCATCTTGAATGGTTTACCACCATCCCTTTTTGTGGGATATCTCTTTGTGATAGAGTTCTCATGAGATCTGGTTGTTTAAAAGTGTGTAGCACCTCCCCACAACAACTTTGCTCCTGCTCCAGCCATGTAAGACATGCCTGGTTGCCCTTTGCCTTCTTCCATGATTGTACGTTCCTAAGGCCTCCCTAGAAACTGAGCAGATGCCAGGATGCCAGAATCATACTTCCTATACAGCCTGTGGAACCATGAGCCAATTAAACCTCTTTTTTTTATAAATTATCAGTCTCAGGTATTTTTCCTAGCAGTGAGAGAACAGACTAATACAATGGTTTATCACCTCACTCTGTTGGAATGTGTATTATTAAAAAAAAGGCAGCAAGTATTGTTGAGGATGTAGAGAATAGAAAATACTTATATACTATTGGTTATGATGTAAATTGGTATACACATTATAGAAAACAATATAAAGAATGCTGAAAAAGTTAAAAATGGAACTACCTTATGAGTCAGCAATCCCGCTTCTGAATATATATTCAAAAGAAATAAAATAATGTTCTGAAAGAGAGATATGCAATTTGCAATCCCATATTTATTGAGGCATTATTCACAGTAGCCAAGCTATGGACACAACCTAAGTGTCTACTGGTAGATGAATGGCTAAAAATTGTAATACGTGTGTGTGTGTGTGTGTGTGTGTGTGTGGCAGTGGGGGTCAGCAGTGTACATATATAAATATGTATAGGATGGAATCATATTCAATCTAAAAAGAAGAAGAAAATTCTGCTATTTGCAATGATGTATATGAATCTGGAGCACATAATGCTAAGTGAAATAAACCAGACAGGAAGAAAAATACTGTATGATCTCACTTACATGTGGAATCTAAACAACTGGAAGTCATAGAAACATAGGGTAGAAGTGTGGTTACCAGGGGCTGAGGAAATAGAGAGACATTGGTCAAATGATACAAATTTTCACTTATCAAATGAGTAAGTTCTGGAGACCTAATAAATAGCATGGTGACTATAGATAACGATAATGTGTTGTATGCTTGAAATTTCCTAAGAAAAATCTTAACTTTTCTCACTATAGTCACATACACAGAAAACAGGAAAGGTAATTATGTGAGGTGATTAATATGTTAATTAGCTTGATTGTGATAATTATTTCACAATGCATATATCTCAAAACATCACACTGTATACCTTATATATATTTATTAATTATATCTCAATAAAGATGGATAAAAATGAAGTTATTAAGGCAGAAGTAATAGAATCCGATCAGAAACAGATTACACAAAGATATGAAGATATAAAATATTTGGTTGTTTTATAGCATATATAAAAATGTGAAGAGAAAGACTTTTTAACTATGCTCCAAATTCTTATGCAGCAACTAGCTACTGGTATTCCTAAAATGCAAACAATGAGAACATATTTCCTTGACTTGATTAGTTAATATAATTTATAATTTGCTTGACTTGATTTTGAAAGCTTTATCCCATTAGTTCCTTCCCATAGCATGTTCTTATTCTAATTAGATCTTTCACAATGTGCTTATACAAGTGTGACTCTTCTTGAAACAACACATTCCCACTTGCACAGAGTCAACATTCTTTGACATGCCACAATTCACAGAGGGTTCCTAAAGAAGCCACTCCTTGAATCCCTATGTCATTTCTAGTAAGAGTAGTTTAGCCATTTCTTTCAATCAAATACATAGAGCACTTTATTTATAATACATAAGCAAGTCAGGTTCACTAAAATTATTTAAAAAGAGTATTATACAATACAGATTTTAAACATAGTTTAATTGTTATATTGATCATTTAAAACTGGTTGCATTCCTTTCTTTCCCCCATTCAGTTAGCACACATCTTGATTAATTTGTGCTTTATTGAGAACATAATTATAAAGTAATTATGAAAACTTAAAATGTCATTAACTTCGTCCTCCATGGATTTAGCAACCTAATAAGACTCATCTAAATTCTTGAACTTTCCTTTAAAATCAGCCAACACATAAAAGAAACTAAAACTTGTACACACAAGTTTTAGTTGTCAGACATTCATTCTTCTCTTAAAATCATTTCCTCAAAATTACCCTATTGGTTTATTAGTTTGTCACATTATATGTTTCTACAATCTGCAGTTTCATTAGACAAAAAACTGAATATTTTTATTACATTTCTATAAGTTTTCTCTGTATAGGTATTTATTGTATATGCCTACATTTATAGTGTACACACACACACACCATCCCCTCCCTCACCACACACACACACACAAACACACACACACATCATTAAAGTACTGAAGGGAATACAATATGTTCATGACTGGAGGGAGAAAATTTTAATCAATAGAAAAATTTGCAGAATATGCTTATTCCTCATAGATAATATTGGTTCTAATTTCAAGTTTTGGACCCTCTTGCTTTTTCGTCTTTGATGTTTATTTTGCCTTCTGCATCTTTTGCAGAATGGAAACAGAATCCTGAATGAAATAAGTTATGCAACTTTAAGGCAAAAATTAAGCAATTTTTTTTGCTACGGTTTTAATTAGTAGAAATTAATAGTGAGAGAGTTCAATTTAATTATGGGTACTAAGGCATATTACTATTCATCTAGTTTTCAAAAATCATGAAATCTAGGCCAAAATATGAAAAACAGGAGAAAAGAAAACTGTCTTTGTTGAAATATGTAAGTAGTCATGACACACAAACCAGGATCTAAGAAATTATCTGCCGAATAATTTAAATGTGAACACAAGCAAGGGACCTCCTGAGAAAAGAGAAAAAATATATACAACAAATTATGGTGATTTGTTTGTTTGTTTTTATAAGTGTAATATTTTAAAAAGCCAAGAGTGACAAGATTAACGTCTGGAAACATACTAGGTGCTTGCATATACACAAACACCACACAACAAAACATGTCCACAAATTTTATACATAGAGAGAAAGAGATGTAGGTTTTCATCCACAGTTCCTGGCTCATGACTCCCATTGCCTTGTTACATCCTTTTTGTTATGATGTTGGGCGTCTTATGTCTCAGGAGCAGGCCTTAGGAAACAGAATCTCTCTGACCTTCTCCTGCCCTCATTTAACCTACCACAAGGCAAGACTCTAATTTTCCCTGCCTTTCTGATTGTGGGTCTTAAGACCCTCACTCCAAAGAGGGTCTTCCCCCATATCCTAGGGAGGAAGGGCAATCATGAAGCTTCCATAAAAGTCCAAGAGGACTGGGTCCAGAGAGCTTCTGGATAGCTGAACACTTGGAGGTTTTTGGAGGGAGGTGGACCCAGGAAGGGCTTAGAAGCTCTGCACCCTTTCCCCCATGCCACACCGTACGCATCTCTTCATATGTATTCTTAAGTAATATCCTGTATAATAAACTGGTAAATGTAAGTAAGTGTTTCCTTGAATTCTGTGAGCTCCTTCAACAAATTAATTGAACCAAAAGAGAGTGTGGGAACCCCAGAGTGAAGTTAATCAATCAGAAGTTCTGGACTTGTGACTGGTGTCTGAAGTGGGTGAGGGTTAATCTTGGGGACTGAGCCCTCAACCTGTGGGATGTGATACTATCTCCAAATAGATAGTGTCAGAATTAAATTCAAAGGTACCCAGCTGGTGTTCACTGCTTGTTAGTGGGGAAAGCTTCCTAACACAGTTGGTCACAGAAGTCTGTGCTTATTGTTGTGGTGTGAAAACAAATAAGAACATAATTTGAGAGTTTTTCCAAAACAAGCTATAACATTCATGCATTGTAGTTGTATATTTGTGGCAAATTTTACTGAAGTTATGGAGAGATAGAGAAGAATTATTTTGTCAAAATCAAGACATCTTTAAAAAATGTATATATTTATGGATGAAACATTCTTTATCTTCTTGTGTAGCTTTCTGCTCCCTCTCTGCTTCCTCCCCATTTTATTTACTCTCTTTCCTTACTATATTTAGCAGTATTTTTTTTGTCACAGGTTCCCCTTATATGTAAAGACTCCCCAATGTGTTTCTCAAACATGAGCCATTTACTTCAAGCCCTCTTCTTTTTGCCCTCGTTGACAGTGTCTGCATTAATTTCAATAACTTTTAATTGTATATCCTGTCATGATAAAAGAGTTACTAACATTTTTTAATGCCCACCATATTCTAATAATTTATAAATGTCTTAATATTTTGATCCTCACAATACATTACAAAGTATATACTTTAATCTCCAATTATAGTTAGAGATCAGAGAGCAAATATCCAAGATAATAGTAACTTATTCAAATTTAGTAACTGGTGAACTCAGTTTAAAATTCATCTAAATATCAAACCCTTTTTCCATTACATCTATCTCCCTGACCCTAGGTCATCAAAGAATGATTATCTCATATGCAATACCTCATGTTTAATAAGGCATAGAAGTATGTAATTCACTTTAGGATAATATCCATTAAAATGGTTAAAACAGAAAATAATTGTGGCACTTAATGGGGCAAATGTCAATTTTCTGAATAATTCATTTAAGTGGAAAAGCTCTTCCTCTGACAATGCCAGATAAATGAGATGTCTCTACATGTTACTGTCTGTTTTGTTTCTGCTTCTGTGCATGTTTCTGATCTCCAACTAGCACTTCATTATTGGATTCATTTTCATTTACTAATGAAGCTTTCAGTACATTTAAGGACCTCAGGCATTTTAAAACTCGGTCATTTTGCTTCGTGCCAACTTATCTCCAAGTTTCCATTTCAAAGTGGCATCATTACAATTACTAATACTACAGCATAGTCTGTGCTTGGACTGGCATTAATTCTGGCACAAGCTCAGAAAGTTTTGTTTCTGACTGATCCTGAAAGGTACATTGATTTTGGCTTTATGTAGCCCCTCCTGGCATACCTTTTGTTTTTCTAATAACATTAATCTCAGCTGGGCTTGCAAGCAAACTTAAATTCTTCTGGGAAGTTTTGCACTAACCCACAATTTAAACTATGTTTTATTTTTTAAAACTAAGTCTACGGATGCTTTGTAAGATGACATAAAAGTTGTTTTTCCTTCAAAACCACCTTTTTCTGACAATATTTGAAATGGTTAGTTTTTTTTTTTCATCATGGTGGTTAAACATAATGACCTTGTTTGTGGATTCTCTTATTTTCTTTCTTTCCCATATTTTTGCTCTGTCTTCTGTACGCTTTAGTATTAAGAGAGTTGTATACTGATTTAATCAACCTATATCAAAGATGATAATACACTGGAAAAGTAACTTCTAAAGTTAAGAAAAAAATTGAAAGGGGTGGCTGGCAAGAGTGCTGAATAGGAACCACTACTACCTACAGCTCCCAGTGAGATCAATGCAGAAAAGGGTGATTTCTGCATTTCCAACTGTACCTGGCTCATCTCATCTGGACTGGTCAGACAGTGGGTGCAGCCCATAGAGGGTGAGCCAAAGCAGAGTAGGGCATCGCCTCACTTGGGAAGCGCAAGGGGTTGGGGAACTCCCTCCTCTAGACAAGGGAAGCTGTGAGGGACTGTGCCATGAGGAATGGTGCTTTCTGGCCCAGATACTATGCTTTTCACATGGTCTTCACAACCCGCAAACCAGGCGATTCCCTTGGGTGCCTAAACCACCAGGGCCCTGAGTTTCAAGCACAAAACTGGGCAGCCATTTGGGCAGGCACTGAGCTAGCTGCAGGAGTCTGTTTTTCATACCCCAGTGGCACCTGGAATGCCAGTGAGTCAGAACTGCTCACTTCCCTGGAAAGGGGGCTGAAGCCAGGGAGCCAAGTGGTCTAGTTCAGTAGATCCCATCCCCACAGAGTCCAGCAAGCTAAGATTCACTAGTGTGAAATTCTCACTGCCAACACAGCAGTCTGAAGTCAACCTGGGATACTCGAGTTTGGTGGGGGGTGGGGCATCCGCCATTACTGAGGCTTGAATAGGTGGTTTACCACTCACAGTGTAAACAAAGTCACAGGGAAGTTCGAAATGGGTGTAGCCCACCACAGTTCAGCAAAGCCGCTGTCGCCAAGCTGCCTCTCTAGATTCCTCCTCTCTGAGCAGGGCATCTCTGAAAGAAAGGCAGCAGCCCCAGTCAGAGGCTTATAATTAAAACTCCCATCTCCCTGGGACAGAGCACCTGGGGGAAGGGGAAGCAGTGGACGCAGCTGCAGCAGACTTAAACATTCCTGCCTATTAGCTCTGAAGAGAGCAGTGGATCTCCCAACACAGCACTAAAGTTCTTCTTAAGGACAGACTGCCTCCTCAAGTGGGTCCCTGACCCCCATACCTCCTGACTGGGAGACACCTCCCAGCAGAAGTTGACAGACACCTCATACAGGAGAGCTCCAGCTGGCATCTGGCCAGTGCCACTCTGGGACAAAGCTTCCAGAGGAAGAAACAGGCAGAAATCTTTGCTGTTCTACAGCATCTTCTGGTGATACTAAGGCAAATGAGGTCTGGAGTGGACCTCCAGCAAACTTCAGCAGACCTGCAACAGAGGGGCCTGACTGTTAAAAGGAAAACTAACAAACAGAAAGGAATAGCATCAACATCAACAGAAAGGATGTCAGCACAAAAACCCCATCTGAAGGTAACCAACATCAGAGACCAAAAGTAGATAAATCCACGAAGATGAGGGAAAACCAGCACAAAAATGCTAAAAATTCCAAAAACCAGAATGCCTCTTTTTTTCCCAAGGATGACAACTCCTCACCAGCAACGGAACAAAACTGGATGGAGAATGAGTTGATGAAATGACAGAAGTAGGCTTCAGAAGGTGGCTAATAACAAACTCCTCCGAGCTAAAGGAGCATGTTCTAACCCAACGCAAGGAAGCTAAGAACCTTAAAAAAAGTTAGACGAATTGCTAACTAGAATAACCAGTTTAGAGAAGAATATAAATGACTTGATGGAGGTGAAATACACAGCACAAGAACTTTGTGAAGCATATAAAAGTATCAATAGCCGAATCGATCAGGCAGAATAAAGCATATCAGGGATTGAAGATCAACTTAATGAAATAAAGCATGAAGACAAGATTAGAGAAAAAAGAATAAAAAGGAATGAGCAAAGCCTCCAAGAAATATGGGACTATGTGAAAAGACCAAACCTACATTTGATTGGTGTACCTAAAAGTGACAGGAAGAATGGAACCAAGTTGGAAAACGCTCTTCAGGATGTTATCTAGAACTTCCCCAACCTAGCAAGACAGGCCAACATTCAAATACAGGAAATACGGAGAACACACAAAGATACTCCTCTAGAAGAGCAACCCCAAGACACATAATCATCAGATTTGCCAAGGTTGTGATGAAGGCAGCCAGAGAGAAAGGTCGGATTACCCAAAAAGGGAAGCCCATCAGACTAACAGTGGATCTCCCTGCAGAAACCCTACAAGCCGGAAGATAGTGGGGGCCAATATTCTAGAGTCTTAAAGAAAATAATTTTCAACCCAGGATTTCATATCCAGCAAAACTAAGTTTCATAAGTGAAGAAGAAATAAGATTTTTCACAGACAAGCAAATGCTGAGAGATTTTGTCACCACCAGGCCTGCCTTACAAGAGATCCTGAAGGAAGCACTAACTATAGAAAGGAAAAACTGGTACCAGCCACTGTAAAAACACACCAAATTGTACAGACCATCAACACTATGAAGAAATTCCAAAATAACCAGCTAGCATCATAATGACAGGATCAAATTCACACATGACAATATTAACCTTAAATGTAAATGGGCTAAATGCCCCAATTAAAAGACACACACTGGCAAATTGGATAAAGAGTCAAGACCCACCAGTGTGCTGTATTCAGGAGACCCATCTCATGTGCAAAGACAAACATAGGCTCAAAGTATAGGGATGGAGGAATATTTACCAAGAAAATGGAAATAAAAAAAAAGCAGGGGTTGTGATCCTAGTCTCTGATAAGACAGTCTTTGAACCAACAAAGATCAAAAAAGGCAAAAAGGGGCATTACATAATGGTAAAGGGATCAATACAACAAGAAGAGTTAACTATGTTAACTATCCTAAATATATATGCACCTGATACAGAAGAACCCAGATTCATAAAGCAAGTTCTTAGAGACCTACAAAGAGACTAAGACTCCCACACAATAATAGTGGGAGACTATAACACCCACTGTCAATATTAGATCAATGAGACAGAAAATTAACAAAGATATTCAGGACTTGAACTCAGCTGTGGACCAAGCAGACCTAATAGACATCTACAGAACTCTCCACACCAAATAACAGAATATAGATTCTTCTTAGCACCATGTCACATTTATTCTAAAATTGACCATATAATTAGAAGTAAAACACTTCTCAGCAAATGCAAAAAAACGGATATCCTAACAGCCTCTCAGACAACAGTGCAATCAAATTAGAATTCAAGATTAAGAAACTCACTCAAAACTGCACAACTACATGGAAACTGAACTAACTGTTCCTGAATGACTACTGGGTAAATAATGAAATTAAGGCAGTAATAAATAAGTTATTTGAAACCAATAAGAACAAAGACACAACATACCAAAATCTCTGGGACACAGCTAAAGCAGTGATTAGAGGGAAATTTATAGCACCAAATGCCCACAGAAGAAAGTGGGAAAGATCTAAAATTGACACCCTAACGTCACAATTAAAAGAACTAGAGAAGCAAGAGCAAACAAATTCAAAAGCTAGCAGAAGACCAGAAATAACTAAGATCAGAGGAGAACCAAAGGAGATAGAGACACAGAAAACTCTTCAAAAAATCAATGAATCCAGGAGTTGTTTTTTTTTTTTTTGAAAAGATCAACAAAATAGATAGACTGCTAGCCTGACTAATAAAGAAGAAAGAGAGAAGAATCAAATAGACACAATAAAAAAAATGATAAAGGGGATATCACCACTGATCCCACAGAAATACAAACTACCATCAGAGTATATACCTCTATAAACACCTCTATGCAAATAAACTAGAAAATCTAGAAGAAATGGATGAATTCCTGGACACATAGACCCTTCCAAGACTAAACCAGGAAAAAGTCGAATCCCTGAATAGACCAATAACAAGTTCTGAAATTGAGGCAGTAATTAATAGCCTACCAACCTAAAAAAGCCCAGGACCAGACGGATTCACAGCTGAATTCTACCAGAGTTACAAAGAGGAGCCAATACCATTCCTTCCGAAACTATTCCAAACAATAGAAAAAGAGAGACTCCTCCCTAGCTCATTTTCAGAGGCCTGCAACATCCTGATATCAAAACCTGGCAGAGACACAACAAAATAGAAAATTTCAGGCCAATATCCCTGATGAACATTGATGAGAAAATCCTCAATAAAATATTGGCAAACAGAATCCAGCAGCACATTAAAAAGCTTATCCACTACGATCAAGTCAGCTTCATTCCTAGGATGGAAGGCTGGTTCAACATACACAATAATGTAATCTATCACATAAACAGAACCAATGACAAAAACTACATGATTATCTCAATAGATGCAGAAAAGGCCTTTGATAAAATTCAATACCATTCATGCTAAAAAGTCTCAATAAACTAGATATTGATGGAACGTATCTCAAAATAATAAGAGCTAATTATGAGAAACCTACAGCCAATATCATACTGAATGGCCAAAAGCTGGAAGCATTCCCTTTGAAAACCAGCACAAAACAAGGATGCCCTCTCTCACCACTGCTATTCAACATAGCATTGGTAGTTCTGGCCAGGTCCATCAGGCAAGAGAAAGAAATAAAGTGTATTCAAATAGAAAGAGAGAAGTCAAATTGTCTCTGTTTGCAGATGACATGATTGTATATTTAGAAAACCCCATCATCACAGCCCAAAATCTCCTTAAGCTTATAAGTAACTTCAGCAAAGTTTCAGGATTCAGAATCAATGTGCAAAAATCACAAGCATTCCTATACACCTATAATAGACAAACAGAGAACCAAATCATGATATAACTCCCATTGACAATTGCTACAAAGAGAATAAAGTACCTAGGAATACAACTTACAAGGAATGTGAAGGACCTCCTCAAGGAGAACTACAAACCACTGCTCAAAGAAATAAGACAGGACACAAACAAACAGAAAAACATTCCATGCTCGTGGATAGAAAGAATAAATATGGTGAAAATGGCCATACTGCCCAAAGTAATTTATAGATTCAATGTTATCCCCATCAAGATACCATTGACTTTCTTCACAGAATTAGGAAAAACAACTTTAAATTTCATATAGAATGAAAAAAGAGCCCGTATAGCCAAGACAATCCTAAACAAAAACAACAAAGCTGGAGGCATCCTGCTACCTGACTTCAAACTATAGTACAAGGCTACAGCAACCAAAACAGCATGGTCCTGGTACCAAAACAGATACTTAGAACAATGGAACAGAACAGAGGCCTCAGAAATAACACCCCACATCTACAATCATCTGATCTTTGACAAACCTGACAAAAACAAGAAATGGGGAAGGGATTCCCTATTTAATACATGGTGTTAGGAAAACTGGCTAGCCGTATGCTGAAAACTAAAACTGGACCCCTTCTTTACACCTTATACAAAAATTAACTCAAGATGGATTAAAGACTTTAACGTAAGTCTTAAAACCACAAAAACCCAGAAGAAAAGCTAGGCAATACCATTCAGGACATAGGCACGGGCAAAGACTTCATGACAAAAACATAAAAAGCAATGGCAACAAAAGCCAAAATTGACAAATGGGATCTAATTAAACTAGAGAGCTTCTGTACAGCAAAAGAAACTATCATCAGAGTGAACAGGCAACCTACAGAATGGGAGAAAATTTTTGCAATCTATCCATCTGACAAAGGTCTAATATCCAGAATCTAGCAGGAACTTAAACAAATTTACAAGAAAAAAGCAAACAACCCCATCAAAAATGGGGCAAAGGATAATAACAGACACTTCTCAAAAGAAGACATTTATGTGGCCAACAAACATATGAAAAAAAGCTCATAATTACTGATCATTAGAGAACTGCAAATCAAAACCACAATGAGATACCATCTCATGCCAGTCAGAATGGCAATCATTAAAACGTCAGGAAACAACAGATGCTAGAGAGGATGTGGAGAAATAGGAATGCTTTTACACTGTTGCTGGGAGTGTAAATTAGTTCAACCATTGTGGAAGATAGTGTGGCAATTCCTTAAGGATCTAGATCCAGAAATACCATTTGACCCAGCAATCCCATTACTGGGTATTTACCCAAAGGATTATAAATCATTCTACTATAAAGACACATGCACACATATGTTTATTGTAGGAGTGTTCACAATAGCAAAGGCTTGGAACCAACCCAAATGCCCATCAATGATAGACTGAATAAAGAAAATGTGGCACATATACACCATGGAATACTATCTAGCCATAGAAAAGGATGAGTTCATGTCCTTTGCAGGGACATGGATAAAGCTGGAAACCATCATTCTCAGCAAACTAACAAAGGACAGAAAACCAAACACTGCATGTTCTCACTCGTAAGTGGGAGTTGAACAACGGGAACACATGAACACAGGGAGGGGAACATCACACACTGGGGGCTGTTGTGGGGTGGGTGTCTAGGGGACGGACAGCATTAGGAGAAATACCTAATGTAGATGATGGGTTGATGGGTGCAGCAAACCACCATGGCACAGGTATACCTATATAACAAATCTGCATGTTCTGCACATGTATCCCAGAACTTAAAGTATAATTTAAAAAAAAGAAAAGAATGAAAATTGCTAGACAGTTTGAAACAGGCATTCAAGCTAAATAAATAAGTATATAGTTTCATTTCTAGCAATTTTTTCAACATCTTCCTAGCTGAATTTTTTTGCAAGCTGACATTAGCACCTACAAATATTTTCAGGGAAAACAATGACTAACAATTGTTTAGGGAACACCTTGAGTAAATTTTATCTACTAATCATACAACCAAGATTCTCATTTGCAATGTTTAAGGGATATACTAATTTACAGCATTAGTGCTGTTGTTACTAATTTTCTGAAAGATTACTCATATTCTTGAGTTAAGTATGATTTTAAATGTAAGTGCCCATCTATAATTTGGGCCATATGAGGCATCTGGAGATAGTGAAATGTTCATAAACTTTGATGACATATATTTCTGCCTTCAAATCATGCCTAGCTATCCATTTCACCTTGCTGTCACTATACAAACTCTACAATCCTGTTTTTTCACCTGTAAGAAAATACCTATTTTGAGGAATCACTTTAACAATTTAATGAGGTTTTTAAAAGCACTAAGTAGATTAACTAGTCAAATTTAGCACATGACAAATGGAAGCTGCCACCCTTATAAGTTGCTTAGACAACAATATCTGCATTTCTATTAAAGGAAAAGAAAAGAAAGGAAAGAGAGAAAGGAAAGGAAGTGAAGAAAAAATAAGGGAAGAGAAGATATTTCCAAAATGCAAGGATCTTTAAATTTTAAGGTTATTCCAATTTCATTACTTTGAAATAATTTCATAAAATAATTACTAGAAACTATTGTATAAATATCAATTGTTTCAGAGAAAATATACATTATTTTCTGGAGAATAACAAAAATGAAAAAAAAAACACCAAGTGCAAATCAAAGAATAAAATCTGTAGGCACAAAGATAAGCATGTGCATAACCAAATATTCAGAAAACTACTGAATGTGTGCTGTTTTTAATTAGTAAAACATAGAACCCTAATGTATACATAAAATTTACAGGGATGATAAATTTAGATTTTGATATAAATTCTACTTTCAGTATAAAATATCTGGCATAATCTACATCTATACACAGCAAATATTTCTTGAGGGCCTACTATGTTCAGGCACTCCGCTATCTGGGATTATATGACAGTGCATGAGGCAGACTTGCTTTTTACCCTGTTCTAGAGTAACAGAACATTGTACTCCACTGAATAATGTAGAAGACATCAGCTTCAACGATTCCACATCCTGGCACAATGTCACACCAGTGTCAAATAAATTTCTCCCATGTTAACAACATTCCTTAAAGAGTATATAAATAAATAATGGTCAAAGCAACGTGGCACTGAGAATGACCTACTAAATCACAAATAGGTATGAGTAAATATTGTTATAAACTATGATAGTTATTGATTTGTGATTTAAGGCTGATTTGGGGTTTTGTTTTGAATTTTTAATCTCTTCAAGTCAAGAATATAGCACAAAAATTTCTCAAATCACAAGTTGAAAGTTAAGAACTTTCATAAATATGAACAGTGCTCCAGAGCAAAGCCCTGTCCCACTTTGCAGGCACATGGCAGAAGTTCTATCAGAATGACTTGGCTGTGACATTTTACTGAATATGTTTGCTCTTTTTCATACTTAGCACTAATGTATTTGTTAACATTACATATATTGCACTTGTGTTACATGCTAAGTAACATAAGTGTGACAGATTTTGTGTGAAAATTTTGAAAGTGTCTCATAAGATGATGAGTAGATTGTGATGGGAAGTGGAAACTAATATGAGTTCTTATTGAGTTCTTAGAGCAATTTTCAACTTGACCTGTCTAACCTGACTTCAATCTATAGGCAATTTTTCCTTCTATGTCAAAGGCACCCAAGATGCTCATTCATCTCCCTTGTTACTATGAGATGGTGGGTTATCACATGCTTTGAAGAGAAAGAGATAGGCTTTGAAGAGAAGAATTTGATCAAGATGGCCTTAATGTTCCCCTCAGCTTGACCAAACTTTAGACAGATTTCTTCCTGTCTATAGGCTCCCGGCCTTTTTTTTCTTTAAAAAACTTCCAATGCAAATTATTTCCTGTTCCTTGAGATATAAATGTTCTTTCAGACTCCTGCCAGTTTTTCAAACCAGGAATGTCTTTCTCAAGTACATGGAAGCTATCCCTTTGAAATGTAATCATCAAGAAAGATGGTGCCCCTATGTCTCATATTCTGTGAGAGGACAGGAGTTTAACTACACTAATCACTAATTAGCAAACACAGATGGCCTAATGACACTGACCAACCTCCCACCTAACATCTTCCAGTATTTTTCCACTAGCTCCCCCAACAGAGTTGAGCTTAATAGTCTTCATCCCTATTGCCATCATCCTGAATAAAATATTTGTTGCTCATCTAAGTTGTCCTGTACAATTTTCTTTGACAGGCTAAATATTCTCTAGGGTACTGATGGTCCACACTTCAAACTTCATGTTCTACAAGTGTAGTAGTTGACAGTTGATAGTCTTTTCTCACCTGTAATCAGAGGCAGAGCCTAAAGCTGAGGTATTCTCCACACAGCTTTTACTTTTAACCAAAATCTTTTCATTCAAACTTTCTCTATTCTGAGTAGTCAGTCTTTTTCTCTTTTGTCCCCAACCAACATCTGGTCTAGCTTCAGAAAGTTACCATAGTTTTTTCAGGTGTGCATCCAGTCTTTTTAATGGCCTTTGATAATGAAGCTGCTTTTGCAAAAGTTATATCAGTGAGAAAATTATAACAGTCAGCTAAGCTAACCCAACCCCCAACTTGCCTTTCCTTTAATTATTCATGGGCTACTGGGCCAAGATAATTTTGGAAGACATTCAGGCTACAGTTTAAATGATAATAGGTCTTGCCCAAAACTCAACCACTTTTGTAAAGCTAATAGGAGGTCATCAGGCTAAGTGGGGGGAGAGGAGCCTGAGACCTGCTAAGGTGCAGACATTATTCCAGAGGTTGTAAGATATGCAGTGTCTTCAATTGCTCCTGCAAATACTACTACTATTGTAGGTTGGCCTTTTAAGATATCTTTCCAGGTTTTTTGCATGTCTGACACCCAGGGCACCACCTGGACTAACAACCCCGCTTCTGTGGCCCTACACAGATTTGGCTGGCAGCAGGACAGCTTCAACCCCCTATGATTTCATCTGTACCCTAACCATTCAGCAGCAAGCACCTGTTACCTGGCAACCCCCACCCCTTTCCCCAAACTGCTCTTGAACAACCCCTAATCTATGAGCTCTGAATGAGATGATTTGAGTATGAACTCCATCTCCCATATGGCGTGGCCAGCCTCATGTCTATTAAACTCTTTCTCTAGTACAATGCTGCGCTCTTTCTTTATGCAGTGGGCAGGAGGAACCCCTTGGGTGGTTACAATAAGTAGTTGCTTCTTTTGAGCTCTTGCTCTCCAAGAGATTGAGTCTCATCCGTATTGGAGTAAAATTGGAAATGCTATACTAGGGGTACAGGTGAAAAAGCCAAGAAGTGGCAGAGAAAACACTTTGAGATATAACCCTATAATTAAGGGGAAAAATAGACTCAGGGTAGTAGGAAAATGAGTAATGTTCAGCTTAGGAGAAATGAATTTAAAAGAAAAATAGAAAGTTAAGCAATCTTGTAAAATGCCACTCTTAGCAATCAATTATAATTAAGAAGAGATGAGGAAAATATTTCCAGTTCATTCCATGTAGTACCACAACTCCAACAGTACTTTAACTTCCCCCAGGCTAGAAACCACAACATCTTTGTTACAGAACAGGCGACCAGATCCATAGCCCAAGTGAGGGTTCTTGGATCTTGTGCAAAAAAGAATTCAGGGCAAGTCTGCAGTGCAAAGTAAAAGCAAGTTTATTAAGAAAGTAAAGTAGTAAAAGTCCAACAACACCATAGACAGAGTAGGGCATTCCAGAAAGATGTTACAGGAAAGGGGTCCTGATCCAGACCCCAAAAGAGGGCTCTTTTTGTTCTTTTCTATAAAAGTTTTTATAGAAAAACTGAATACCCCTTTAAATTTAGCTAATATGTTCACACATAGATTTTTTTACAATTAATTTTTCACAAACCTTTCATAACTTGCTCAAAGCTTTAGCTTTATTCTATTTAACTGAAAACATTCTTTAACACCTGAAACTTAGGCAAGAAATCCACATTCCCATGCCTTCTTATAATCTTTCACCAAAAACACATTTCACTTCACTTACACGCCTTGCATGTAGAACTGTTTCTTCAGCAGTCTCAAATACATGTTACACTGTTAACTCTTAGCGACTTACTTTTGGTGAAAAGCCTGGTTAGTAATCGATTTTGATTATGTACTAGGTGTGGAGCCTAGCCTAGGACATACCACGCAGAAGTGCAGATAAGGTCTGACATTTTCTAGCACAGATAGGGGGCATGGCTAACTCCACATGTTCCCAGGCCTTACCTAGTTGTAAAGCAGGCAAGTCGTACAGTTATGAGTCGTAGTGGCATTTTATGAGGAACCTTCTTTGCATAGCTAGGGGGCATGGCTAATTCCACATGTCCCTAGGCCTTATCTAGAATCTAATGCTCCAAAGTAGGTACATTGAACAATTTTCAAAAGTCAAAGAAACAGCTTATGACCTTAAAGCTTTTGTACAACTTAATATCTGACCTGCATAATTTAGACCAACTGTCTTTATTTTACCAATAATCTTTAAAGCTGTCTTTATTTCCCAGAGATTACTTAAGTCATGTGAACAAAAAGACATTACACTTTTTACTTTTCTGACAAAATATTTGATTTAAGCTCTTGTTATTGAACCAATTAATTAAAGCTCTTTTATATTACACACACATAATACATATAAATACATAGACAGACAGAAGATAAGTGATCATCCCCCAAGCCGGGAATTTAATCCTGAACCCCAGCCACCACTGTGATGGTGGAGACCAAGAGTAGGTACTGCCACATGGCTACAAGGTCAAGGTCCCAAGGACATGACTCACCAGAAAGAAACCTCATATAGTTTACACACCCATCCCCCCCCCCCCCCCCAACACACACACACAGAAAGAGACAGAGAGAGGCTAGAATTCTGACTAGTAAGAAATTCTTACCCTTTTGCTGGCACGTGAGGCTTTTGTGTTCCCTTTCTTTGAGTGGTCCTAGTGACCCGGCGGCTGGACCCTAGCCCTGGGGGCCAAGCTGAAATACAAAGGAGAATTATCTCTTTTCATCCTGGCCAGAATAAAATATCTGTGACAAAACATAGACATTAACCACTCTGCTTAGTACCCAGTATCAAACTGGCAAGGCTCAAACTTGCCCCATCATCGTTAACTCAACCTCCGACCAGGAGTTTCAATATGTGGTCTCTGGGCAAGATGGTAGCCCTGAGTAAAAGAAAAGATAGAAAAGAGAGAGGAAAGCATTGCATGCAGCGGGGTAGGGAATGTGAAATGCTCAGGGAGGCCAGAGAGGGACACACCCATTGCGGCGACACTGAAAAGTTCAGGCGGCTGCTGTTGTGAAGGGATTTTTTTTTCAGGGAGTCCCATCAGCTCTCAAGTTTCCCCTTTTCAGGGAGGAAAAAGCTCCCCATGTCCCACGATCCTGTATATACCTAATCCTGTCACCCACAGCTGTTAGCAAAGAGTGCAAGGCAGATTATTCCAAAGAGAATAGCAGTTAAAATCCTGTAGTGCCAAACACATTCCTAGCCAAAAGGGACTTTACTGAGAAGGGCTTTTAACACCCTAAATCTTAGACTGGATTCTAACACTCCTAAGTCAGACCCCTAACCCAGGATCCATCCGGCGTCCTTGCCTTTTATTAAGAGGATCCTTTAACCCTCTCTGTCTTAGGAGAGACTCTAACTCCCCCAAGTTAGGCTGCTACCTCAACCCCATTCTTTACCCAGATATATGCACCCCACTTAAGCAAAGTCAGCCAATTGGTGCTCGCAGATTATTTCCCTTTGGATCTCGGGTCTCTTCAGTATAGTCCCTTCTGTGGTTCACCAGAAAGATGTTACCGGACCCCACCACTTACCCAAAGGTAGCCTTTGTGTCCCTTCTGTGGTTGCCAGAAAGATGTTACAGGAAGGTGGTCCTCATCCAGACCCCAAGAGAGGGTTCTTAGATCTCGCGCAAGAAAGAATTCAGGGCAAGTCTGTAAAGTGAAAGCAAGTTTATTAGGAAAGCAAAGGAATAAAAGAATGGCCACTCCATAGACAGAGCAGCCCCAAGGGCTGCTGGTTGCACATTCTTACGGTTATTTCTTGATTATGTGCTAAACAAGGGGTGGATTATTCATGCCTTCTGTTTTTAGACCACCACATAGGCTAACTTCCTGACATTGCCAGGGCATTTATAAACTGTCATGGCGCTGGTGGGAGTGTAGCAGTGAGGACGACCAGAGGTCCCTCTTGTGGCCATCTTGGGTTTAGTGGGTTTCAGCCGGCTTCTTTATGACAACCCGTTTTATCAGCAATGTCTTTTTGACCAGTATCTTGTGCCGACCTCCTATCTCATCCTGTAACTTAGAATGCCTTAACCATCCAGGAATGCAGCCCAGTAGGTCTCAGCCTTATTTTAACCAGCTCCTGTTCAACATGGAGTTACTCTGGTTCACATGCCTCTGACACCTTGACCTTCCCATTTCACTCTATCCTGTTCTCATTTTCTACATCACCCCACTTTAAATCCCCAGACCTCTTAATCATAACTTCCTTAAAATTACTGTAAACTCTTGCTTATTTATCACTCTGTCCTCTTCAGACAAAATTTAACTCTTGTTAAAGCAACTCTCTGGTAATCTTCAACCTGGACCCGCATATTTTAACTGTTTGTATAAAACCTCATAACTATGCTAATTGGTTATGCGATAATTAACCTCCAGCGGGCCCTTAATGCTTGTCAGCTAGCCTACCATATTTCCGTAATCCTTTAACTTTTCCACTCCTTTTTTCTAGATCAGTGCCTCTCAAACTTGAATCTGCATATAAATCACCTGAGGATCTTATATTAAAAACACAGATTCTGATTCAATAGGTCTCTTGTGGGAGCAGTAATTCTGGAGTTTTAACGAGCTCCCAGGTGATGAGTATGCTGCTGATTTGGGGACCCCACCCTGAGTGGCCTTCCTTTTTATTACATTAACTTGATGACCTTGTTCATATTTCACTGAGAATCAGGTAGAGCTTCCATATGCTTTTCTTCTCTAAATCTACCAATGTACTTGCATCTGTAGTCACATGCCCCTAATTTCCCTCCTCCAGGAATAGAATTTTATGCTTCTGTTTTTAAGGCCAAATCTACCATTTCTTCACTGGCTTCAACTCATCTTCTACTCAGAGCCACTGCTTCAGTAATTCGCTTCTTTCATTCATGTGTACACAATTTTTCATTACACATACAGACTCATTCTCAAATACATAATAAACCAGTACTTTATTTGAAAAAAAAATCTTTCTTAATCTCACAGCCTCATTATTTGCCTGCATTCCTCTGGTCTCCCCTTTAGAGAAAAATTCCTTGAAAGAGTTGTCTATATATTATTTTTCTACCTCTTATCCCTCTCTTTTCTTTGAAATCTACTGAACTATGTTTTATAAATTTACTAAGGACAGCCACATTGCCAAATTCAATGACCAAGTTTTATTACTTATTTTATTGGTCTATCAGTAGTGCTTGATATATTGATTTTTCCCTCCTTCTTCAGTATTTTTACTTGACTCTAGGGCCAATTCTCTCTCACCATTTCTTCTTGGTCTTCCTTTCTTGTTTCTTATTATCTCTGCAACCTCTACATCAATGATTTTTACCACTTTTTTGGCTACACACTAGAATTAACTGAGGACTTTTGGAAACAGATACCTGAGGTTTACCTCCAAAGAATCATAAATAATTGGTTTGGCATGGAACCTGGGCAAAGGTAGCTTTTCAATATCCCCAGGTGTTTCTAACATGAGTCCAGG
Organism: Homo sapiens; assembly: GCF_000001405.40. Classification (NCBI taxonomy): domain Eukaryota; kingdom Metazoa; phylum Chordata; class Mammalia; order Primates; family Hominidae; genus Homo; species Homo sapiens. Next base: position 92,093,081 of record NC_000004.12, read on the forward strand.
TTTGACAGCTACTGCCCAGCCTCAATTGGACCTCTTCATCATTTAGATTTACTCCTAGGTGATGCCACTTTGAAAAAGGAAACACATTTCTTATCAAGTGTGCGAGACAGTCAGATATCAGGAGTACTGACTTACCAAATAAAGAACACAGGGCATATCTGAAGGGTGGAAAATCTAAAAATCGATCGAAGTTACTAAATTTTCATTAGTCTATTCACAGTGGGAAGACAACTTTCTGAAATGATTATTATATTCATAAAGGCCATGACATATATTTAGATATCAATATATCATAACTCAGGGATTACTTCTTTGTGTTACAAATTCCAGATTTGTAAACAATATCCAAGGTTTTATTATTTCGAGTACCAGAACCAGTTAAAGAAATCCTATTAGTTTTGTTTCAGTCTCAGAATGTACAGTTTTTGTTTTGTTTTGTTTGCTTGTTTTCAAACTATGGTGTATGAAGTGCTCAATTATAGTGGAAACAGGGGGAAGTGTCAGTTTTGGTTTCCTGAAGTATGGCTTTAAATATTATCTATGTGTAAAATTCCCAGTCTGTACCTTTAACATAGACAATGTCTCTAAATTCCTGATTTGCATGTCCTATTACCTGCTCAGCATCTACTACTGATTATCTGTCATTTCAAATTCAATGTGTTCAAAACTGATATGTGCCCCCACCCTATTTTTCTAAGGTTGTCACTAGGTCAATAAACACATCTCTATTTTACCATGTGCTTAGGCTAAAAATGTGAGGGTTGTCTTTAGCTTCTCTCCTTTTCTCATAATCTACATCTAATCCACCGGAAAATTTTTTTCACTCAATCTTTCAAAAATGAGAAAAATCTCACATGCTTTATCTCCTCCACTGTCAGCACCTCACTCAATGCTGCATTGTGTCTCTTCTGAATTAATCATTCATTTGCTTCCTAGTGTTTCTCTTTATTTCTGTTACTGCTTCCTACGAAGTATTAGACAGTATTTTCAATAGAATACTTTAATTCTTTTAACACGTAAGCCAGATCACATCTTTCTTCTGCTCATGTTGCTTAAATAACTTCCTATATCAGAGCCATCCTTATGGTTATTCCCTACTCATCTTCTCTACCCTACTTTGCCCACTTCAGTGGTGTCTTCTTCCCGTTCCTCAAACACTCTGAGCACACTGCTGCCTGTAAGCCTTTGTACTTTCATACTTACTCTTCTCTCCAACTTGAATACACAAGATATACACAAGCTTGACTTCTCAATTCCTTCAAATCTTTGTTCAAATGTCATCTTCTATGAAAAGTCCCTTTTGAGAACTATATTTCAAATCACAGCATTTCCTCCATCCCTCTTCTCTTTATCCTTCTTTTTTACTTTGCTTAATACTGTGCATCGCCATTTGATAGGCCATGTTAAAACTTGTTTATTTTGTTTCCTCCTCTCATACCCCACACTGAAATGTAAGCTCCATTGAAAGCAGGGACGTTTCTTTTTGATGGCAGAATAGTACCTAAATTAGTACCTGGCACACAATATGGTCTTAGTAAATGTTTATTAAATGAATGGGTACCTTAGCCTATGGAGAGAACATGAGCACCAATCTCAGTTGCTATGGGCCCCATATTAATTCAAAAGAAGGCTGCAAGAGACTTTCTACTTGTTTTGATTTGTTTTGTATTACTAAATTAAACAGCCATATGCAAGGAAATATGAGCAGTCCTTACATCAGGGCCTCCCTGATCCCCCGATTCAAATCATAGCGTTAATACTACAGGCAACTTATTTATCTTTTGTAAATTACACAAACATGCAAATCCCCTTCTTCATGCCCAGTTCCCAGCACATACACACACTCATAGAAACACAGCGACCTCAATATTTTTGGCAGAGACCCACACTGAATTTTCAGATGTAGAAGAGAATAATGCAGAGAGGAACGAACACCAATTTCTGGGCTTTCTTTCCCTTTAGAGTTCTTTTCATTTACTAACCTCCAATATGCTAATTCTGAGAGGCATCATATTTTATCCCCTTCGACATAGTCCAAAAATCTTTTCCCTTAATACACATTGTAAAATGCTCCTATAGCACACGAGGTTTAAAAAATACTGTAGTGCACCCTGGCTGGTTCTCTTCAGTATTTTCTAGGACTCCCATTTTGGAGGTATGTTGCTGCTGTGTTGTGCTCTGCTTGAATTAAATTGTAAAACACCCCTGCTGGATGGGAATGTTTGTCTGGCCATACAGCTGAAGAGAATGTAATTCTTACATTAAAACAGTGGAGGCAAAACCATGGAGAAACATTCAGGTTTATGTTGAGGCCAAGCATTTGAATGGTCTCCCAGATTTAAACTTGTCTTCACAGATGTGGTAGCAGCACTGACACCATCATACATGCCAGGGTCGTGTGGTGACTCAAAGAAAAATTGTCCCTCTTGGCAAAATGCTCTTCCCAGGGAGAATGGCAGCAGCTGGCTCCACTGATGGTGGAGTTTCCAACTATGAAGCCAAGGGTCAACCTGGGCAGCACTGATTCTAGCTCATTTAGTGCTCTGGGGCCTGGGGTTGAGAAAAAGGGGCAAAGGTGAACCACTTTCTTCCCAATAGGATGATTCATTTTAGTGGCTAACAGCCTGCTCCACTTTCCTAAGGTGAGAAAAAGCAAGCACATTGACATTCCTGCCCACAATACCTTCTGTTATGTCCATGTGGTTAGCTGGCATCAAGTTGCCTCCTAGAGGAAATAAAAAACTAAAGTGCTTGTTCTGCTAAAGTTTACTGTTTTCTTTTCTACTTTATTTAGCTTTTTAGGCATTTTATTTCACCCTTATTTCTCATGCATATAGATGTATTAATTTATTTGAGAGAGATTTCAGGGTCATTAAAATTCATCTTTTGAAGGTCACAAACCTGCACTGTTGAATCCATAGTTATGAAGGAGTCTGCCTTTAACCTTTCTAATACATAGACCATAAACTCTATAATGGCATATCGTATGGAGAAAATGCTTTATTCAGTTATATCTTTGAAAAGTAATAATCACTGCTAGCACTGTTGGTAGTCCATCAATAGAGATAGTTTTCTAAGAGTGACTAATTCTACCTAGTAATTTAAATAAGGCTTATGTTCAGAATGACTGATAAAGATTAAGTAAATGCTATGTAATATTTTGTACAATACTGATGTTTTGTTCTAATCACACAGTTTAAGTGTGCATTTGCCAAAGGGGAAGAAAGCACATTACCATTTTTGGATATGGATCTATCTAAATTTTTATAAGCATTTTAATGCAGACATAAATATATATGTATACCAAAAGCAAATGCAACTGAATATCATTCTGGCTGCCAAAAAAGCTGTAGGCAAGTACTATTGAAATTAAAAATTAGACTTTAACCTCTAATGTATTTTTAAACATAATTAAAACATAAGAAACCAGCTGGGCTTATTATAGGTCCAGAACCTTCTGAGTTAAACAGCATGTGTTAAACAAAAGAATTCAATCATGCAGATTTTTTTTATTTTTCTGTAACCTTATTCAGTAATATTTAATTTCCAACAAATACAGATTGCCAGCTGTTAACATCCTTTTACTGCAAGATAAGGGTAAGAAATTTAATGCTGGTTGTTTTGTGTTTACGACTGTTGACCAAAAATTGCACACTGGTTACAGTGAGTATTTGTTAGCATTTTTCTTCTATTTGAAAATTTATTCCAAATATGATAAACTGCCTAATTCCCTGTGAAACAGCATTAGTTGTTATTTTGAGAAGCTACTTAGTTTGCTCAAACATTCTCTAGAATCTCCATAAGCAACTAAGTAAAACTAGAATTGGGACACCAAGAAAGGATGTACAACTCTTCAAACGTACGATCTTATCCCATTCTGGTCAAATCTAAAACAGGAAATTTTGAGACATAAAGGGGAACCAATTTTTTGAAATAATGATAAGAGTCTGGTATGCTTTAAACAATTTAGATAAATAAAGAAGTAACGCTATCTAGAGAAGAAGAGTGGGAATGTTCCCAACGTAAAGAAAAGGTAAAGGTTTGAGGTGATGGATATCCCAATTACTTCTGATTTTATAATTACACATTGCATGCATGTATCAAAATATCACATGTGCCCCAAAAATATGTACAGCTATTATGTTTCAATTTTAAAAAGATACAAAAAAATGTTAGAGTAATGCTATCATTAGTTAATTTGAGACAGCAGTTTAAAACAAGAACAGACTTGGGGCAGAAGAAAATGAATCAACCTTAAACTAAGTCAAAGCTACTTCAATAGAACTTTGTTATATTTTGTATAGAATTTCCTAATGAACACTGTTAATTGCAATCTCATATATTACTAGACTAACCATTCTAATTAAAATAAACAATTGAACAGATAGGATCAAGTGCTCACTTCTCTGAATGGACTTTAAGAAAAAGAAAGTGATATAAAGTATAGAAGATATAACTTCTGATGTGTCCTTTAGGAGTAGAAAGTTGGAACAATGGAGAACTGAGTTTAATCTGAAGAAGGAGGTAGAATATTGTTAGGTGGTGAAGGTACTAGTAAGTTCTTAGTTGCATAATCCATTTTTTTCTGATGTAAGATCAAAACAACCTAAGTTTCGTGTATATTAATGAGAAAATGTAACAGTATAATGTAAAAAACAGCATGGTAGTCTAAGGAAGTGGATTATAATATATACCAGAATTAGAAATACAGCAAAGCATTTAGGGAGAACAGCATTCATTCAGAACTACTAGAAATGTTGTAGAATGATAGATGTGTAGAGCAATGCAACCTTACATGATTGTAGAAGCTGCTAAAACAATCTTGGTTTGGCTATTTCTTCATCTGGTGCGAAGTGTGAAGTCACTGGATTGGCAGTCAGAGGGAAAGTGGGGAAGAGCAGTGACAACCAGGGCACCCAAGGAACAACCTGGAACTTGCTGTTTATCTCTCATTGGAATGAATCCATGATGTTCTCTGACTATCCCCTTGCCCTTCTCACACAATAATTTGGAGGTTATAAATGGAAGAAATTTCAAGAGGACTGGCCTTTGGAATCATTTGTTGCCCAAATCAACAAGATGATCTAGCAGCTCTGCAAAGACATGCACAATCTAATTCAACCTCCCAAGAATAAATATGGCCATTGCTTCCTTTCTGCCTTCCAAATCTCACACACACTTGTCTTGTGACCAGTCTTAACCAGAAACATTCTTGGAAATGTAGTTCAGCTTCGCCAGTTTGACAAACCACAGTGTCATAGAAATCTCAACAGGAGATTTTTGGCTGCATAAGTGTCTTCTTTTGAGAAGTGTCTGGTCATATCCTTCGCCCACTTGTTGATGGGGTTTTTTTTTTTTCTGTAAATTTGTTTGAGTTCTTTGTAGATTCTGGATATTAGCCCTCACACCAGTTAGAATGGCGATCATTAAAAAGTCAGGGAACAACAGATGCTGGAGAGGATGTGGAGAAATAGGAATACTTCTACACTGTTGGTGGGACTGTCAACTAGTTCAACCATTGTGGAAGTCAGTGTGGCGATTCCTCAGGGATCTAGAACCAGAAATACCATTTGACCCAGCCATCCCATTACTGGGTATATACCCAAAGGATTATAAATCATGCTGCTATAAAGACACATGCACACATATGTTTATTGCGGCACTATTCACAACAGCAAAGACTTGAACCAACCCAAATGTCCAACAATGATAGACTGGATTAAGAAAATGTGGCACATATACACCGTGGAATCCTATGCAGCCATAAAAAATGATGAGTTCATGTCCTTTGTAGGGACATGGATGAAGCTGGAAACCATCATTCTCAGCAAACTGTCACAAGGACAAAAAATCAAACACCGCATGTTCTCACTCATAGGTGGGAATTGAACAATGAGAACACATGGACACAGGAAGGAGAACATCACACACCAGGGCCTGTTGTGGGGTGGGGGAAGGGGGGAGGGATAGCATTAGGAGATATACCTAATGTAAATGATGAGTTAATGGGTACAGCACACCAACATGGCACATGTATACATATGTAACAAACCTGCACGTTGTGCACATGTACCCTAAAACTTAAAGTATAATTAAAAAAAAAACTCAACAGGAGTTACAGTACCGTAAACAAACTTCCACTTTAAAAGTTCTTATGCCCTATATGGATTATTTTCTTACAGAATCAAAATGTATTATAAGTTACAGATCATGATTCTGGGCTCAAATAGCCCTAGGGTCACTAGTAGATTTAATATAAATGAATTTAAAGGTTTTATTTACTCTGAGGTGTTTAGAATCACCAGTTGAGAAGGTTCAGCATTATGGGCTGCATTCTCTACTGAAAAGTCCCTTGTTTTCTGTTACTTTTCTCAAAGAATCAAAATTCAAATAAACGACTTTGCTTCTATTTTTTATCAGAAAATTTTAATAAGCAGAGAACCTCATTTGTTAGATGACAAATATATTATCTTTAGCCTTTTGCTTTTCTTTTGGCCACTAGCTTCTCTTGTTGTTTTCCCATTGGCATCTTATTTTTTATTTCCTTCCACAAAGAAAAGAAAAATAAGAAAAGAATAAGAAAAAGCTACAGGGCCTTTCTACCATATAGTCTTCATTGATCTGGTCTAACTGTATCATAGTTTTCTCTCATAAGCACCCAAATTTATCTCCATTCCTAAAGAGATCAACAAATTTTAGCAAATGCATTCTCATCCCTTCCTAATTGTACAGTAAGCTCTTCATTGCAAGTCTGCTATTTTAGAAAACTCCAGTTTAGATTGCTTCACTGATTGAACTTGCTTCTTTAACCTATATAAGACTTCTAAACAAATTAAATGAAGACAGATTTTCCTCAGAGGGAATCAGTGTCAGGAGAGAGAGTGATTTTCACTTTCCTTCCCTCCTCTTAGGAGCCAGCACTTGGGGCTATAAACCAGGAATGTTCATCTGGGCAGCATGCGTCCAAGATAGCAGGTCTGTGGCAAATGGGCAGGATGAGCTGATCCACTACTCGATTAGGGCCAAATGGCTTTCTACCAAGACACTATTATGTATGAGCCAAGATCCTCTCCAAGGTCACTTCATGCTATTGACACACTTGGAAAAGGAATTTGGAATACTTAAATTCATTCAATCACATTGCCTCATTAAAAAGACAAGGAAGCTAAGGTGAATTCACATCAAAGTTGCTAACTAAACTTAACTCATAGTGAGGTATGAAAATCCCACTTTTTTCTCTGATAAGAAATTAGTCCTAAAGAGCTCTGCTTTTAATATAAGTGAAAAATAGTATAGAGATCCTAAACAAATTTTAGGGACTAAACTAATTTTAGTCAAGGGACTAATGTATAGCCCTCTGCCTCAAGAAATTTGTGGTAATACTATCCTATAAGACACACAAACGTATGTGCATTCTGCAGAAGCTGCATTAAGTTAAAGGGGCAAGAAATGTTTCACAGACTTTTTGTTTTGAATGAGTAGAAATGTCTATGCCAGTATACAATTCAGAAATTAATTTTCCTTCAGTGCTAATAATTGATTCCAATAAAATAAGATAGTTACATGGTAACTTTAAAAAACAGAAAGAATTAGAGAGCAACTTTATAAAAATATATTCCTGGTGATGATTGATTTTTATATCATTTTGTGTGCATTACAAAGGAAGCCATTTTTCTAGAATCTTTTGTATTTTTCTTACAACTTCCATTGAACATTTTTCTTATTCTCAGTATTTTCTTTTTTATACATCTTTCTATTTCTCTCTTATATGTACCAATATATCTTTATTTCATTTTAGAGCTCTGTAGATGAATTTTAACTCTTAGAATACATTTTTTTTTTCTTTTTCCTTTTTCTTCCAGTACAGAAGGTATTCTCTATCTTAGTACACTTCAAGGTCTACTATTATGTGACTTTCCTTTCCCTCCTGTTTCCTATTCCCAACATAAAAGACAGCCATTCTGGCACAGATATAAAATTAGTTTTGCTCAATGGATTTCTTGTCATGCATGTGCACAAAGCTTCATTTACCTTCAATTTAGGCTTTTGTTTTCCTCTGGTGACTCATTTTGCTGCATCTGTGTTTGTTCTATAACCTGTGGATAAGGCATGTTTCTCTGGCAGGGAGCTGGCTGAGCACTTGCTGTAGGCTGCCATGTGTTAGCAATTTTTGAATGCAGTTCAGGGGTACCCCATCCTCTGCATCAGATATTACTGCTCTTTACATAATTCCTATGTGGTTGTCAGCTTAGATCTTGTTTGTTTATCTCAGGGATTTGTTGTCATTTTTATTGTTGTTAATTCATTTAGTATACCACAGATGCTTTTGTTATATTCCCAGTGGTAAATAGATACAAGTTTTACTGATTGTGGTAAAACAGATCAGATATTTAGTTATGGTTACCAGTTTGCCCCTTTTCCAATGCTAAATGCGGCCATAAAGCTTTATTCTCTCTTTTTTTTTTTTTTTTTTTTTTCTGATCTTTTGTAAAATTTACTCTGTACATTTCGGTCTTTCTTACATAAAGGTGGAAACCCATTCCAGCCACAAGCTTTTCATAAACAGTTCACAGCCTACTGTTTTCAAATGGATTGCTACTTAAATGTCTTTGAGATATTTTTCCTTCTGAATAACTGCATTACATCACCTATTTTAGAAATTAGTGTTGTTTAAATACTTCTTAAGACATGAGTCTTAGTTTCAGAGTTTATGTGATTAAGGTGTAGGGTTAGTAGCCAGAGAGGAAAGCAGCTTATGCAATAAGAATTGGCACAGAAAAAATTTATTGAGCAATTTTGGAGCTTGCTTAAATCTTGTGTTTTTGATATTTGGGGAAGCAAAGAAATTTCAAAATAATTAGATTTAATTTTTGTATTTAAGCATAGATGGTTACCAAACAAGACTTTTCACATACTTAAAGAGAGAATTGCTAACCAGTCATGGGGATTGTTTAATAACTCCCTTTCTTGGCAAGGCTATTTGATTCTGAGAGAAAATGACTAATCACAAAGTACTCATTCCTTGGAAATACCTCAAAACAACTATAGGGAAGTAGAATTGCTTCAACTGTGAAACTGGGGAATTGCTTTTGTCTCACTGTGACCTCTGTTCCAATTTCAAAGCTTGTTCATCCCGTCACACGAACAATAATTTTTTAAAATCCCAGTGTCAAAACCATGGCTCTTCCTTGTGTATTAAGTGATGTTAATTGCTACACTGAATAAACCCAAAAAAGTCCACAATGACTTAAAAATTGTATCACTTTCCTAGGGATGCTGAGACAAAGTGCCACAAACTGGGTGGCTTAAAACAACACAAATTTATTCTTTCACTGTTCTAGATGCTAGAAGTTTCAAATCAAGATACTGATAGGGTCATGCTTCCTCCAAAGCTGCTAGAGAGGAGAATCCTTTCTTGCCTCTTTCAGCTTCGGGTAGCCAGGTATTCCTTGGTTTGTGGAAGTGTTACTCCAGTCTCTGGTTCCATATTTATGGCTGTCTTCCCACTGTGTCTGTCTTCATGTCTTTACATGATGTTCTCTTTGTGTGTCTATGTCTGTACCCAAATTTCCCACTTCTTATAAGGACATCAATCATATTGGATTAATGGCCTACCATACTCCAATATAACCTCATCTTAACTAATCACATTTCTAACAGCCCTATATCCAAATAGATCACATTCTGATCTATTGGGGATTATGATTTCAACAGGTCATTTTGGGGGGAAACAATTTAACCCAAAACAAACACTAAGAAGTTTACTTCTTGCTAAGGTAAACTGCTGTATAGGTAAAACAGGTTGACAGGGTTATTCTCCATACACTCAATCAAGAACAGACTAACAGAAGCTCTGACATCATCAAAACATGGTTTCCAATGTTACCTTGGAATGTATAGCCATATCAGACTTCCAGAAGGGATAAAGAACATAGAGGGCAGGCCGGGCGCAGTGGCTCACGCCTGTAATCCCAGCACTTTGGGAGGCCGAGGTGGGTGGATCACCTGAGATCTGGAGTTCGAGACCAGCCTGACCAACATGGTGAAAACCTGCCTCTACTAAAAATTCAAAATTAGCTGGGCATGGTTGCGTGTGCCTGTGATCCCAGCTACTCGGGAGGCTGAGGCAGGATAATCGCTTGAACACGGGAGGTGGAGGTTGCGGTGAGCTGAGATCACGCCATTGCACTCCAGCCTGGGCAACAAGAGCGAAACTCCGTCTCAACAAAACAAACAAACAAAAGAACATAGAGGGCAAAGAGTGAAAGATTTTTACAGGACAAATGTGGAAATAGCACCTGAAACTCCTGTTCACAATGAATTAGCTGGAAAGATAAGGAAGCCTGGGAAATGTGGTTTAGCTGTGTGTCCTTGATGAAAAGAAGAATATGGGTCTTTTTTTGAGCAGAAAGGAATCTCTCATTCTTCTGTACAATTGCATTCTAGGGCATTTTATGAGAGAAAATGAACATTATCCTATATGATTGGGGTAACTATACTTCCTGGATTCCCTAGGACTACCTTGATTTACGCTTATTGTCTCTGAACAATTATTAATAGCACTTCCACTTTTTCTATAAACTGACCTGATTTGATGATTTGGTTAATAATTTATATGTTCATCATATCAGATGAGAAGCCAAGGAGGAGAATTCTCCATTTTGTAAAAGAATATATCAAATGTGCCTATTGAAAACAAGAAATCAACCTGCTGGGCTCCTCAAGGAAAAACATTTTGTTTAGTATGTTTCCAATTCCACTAAAATGAGATTTGGCAAGATTTTGGACCATATGTCTTTAGCATTCTCTAAACTGGAATGACTAAAAAGGTGTTTAAAAATTTTAACAAAGTACAAATATACACCTGTCTAGAAAATGTGTCCTTTAAAATGAATTTCTAAGTCATCTGAAAAATAGTAGTGGCCCCTATATTACTTTCTTATCTATACTCAAAATAAATATATCTTGGTGCTTTGTTAATAAAAGTTATTATTATCATTTTGTTTTGTTTTTGAGACAGGGTCTTGCTCTGTTGCCCAGGATGGAGTGTAGTGGTGCTCTTATAGCTCACTGCAGCCTTGCCTTCCCAGACTCAAGCCACCCTCTCACCTCAGCCTCCTAAGTAGCTGGGACCACAGGTGTGTATGCACACCACCATGCCTGGCTATTTTTTTCAAAATTTATTTTTTAATTAATTAATTATTATTATTTCTTTTTTGGTAGAGATGGAGTCTCCCTGGGCATAGGCTGGTCTTAAACTCCTGGCTCAAGTGATCCTCCCACCTTGGCCTCCCAAAGTGCTAGGTTTACAGGGATGAGCCACTGTACCAAGCCTAATAAAGTTTTTGATAGGTCATCGTTTTATTGAATATTAAGGCAGAAAAAGACTTCCTAAGAGAAATCTGGTATCAAGCCCCTAAATTATTGCAATTCTGCTTACATGAATTGAGTCTGGCATTACTTTGTAAAAGCATATATTGAAGTGTTCTTAAGATTGTCTGTCCTTCTTTGGGCTGCTATAACAAAATACCATAGAATGGACAGAATATAAACAACAGAAATGTATTTCTCACACTTTTGGAGGCTGTGAGGTGCCAGATCAAGTTTCAGTGCCTGGCGGAAGTCCAACTTCCTTTTTCTTGTAACCTCATATGGTGGGGAGTAGGGTTGGGATTATTTCCCTTGGGTCTCTTTCATAAAGACAAATCCCTTGGGTCTCTTTCATAAAGACACTAATTCCATTAATGAAGGCTTTGCCCTCATGATTTAATCACGTACTGAAGGTCCCACCACCTAATAAGATCACATTAAGAATTTTAATTTTAAACTATGAATTTTATGATACACAAGCATTCAGACCATAGCTTCATCCTTGGAATTTCTTCAATCCTTCTGAGATTCCTCATCATCATGAAATGTTCTATATACTATATTTAAGAAACAAAGTAGCCCCCTTCATTTTAAAAATAAATCCAAGTATAAAAAGACCTTGAAAGAACTCATTTATCTTTTGCTACACCTTTATAGAGTACTTTCATAGCTCTGTCACCAATCCCTTGGTAAAAAAGAAGTCGAAACCTCTGGAATTTGAGCTTAAATTCTCCTGTAGATGATTCAGGAAAGCATGCTACAAACCTTATAATAGATAATAAGATTTAAGTTAGTTTTCATAACACAGCTGCATAATAAAATATATATATATATATATGTATGCACTTGCTTTTATATAAATAATTCACATAAGAATTCAAGCATATGTGTCAAAGGCGTGATTGGGAATATGTTTCCCATTAAGCATTTTGCTGGGGTCAATGAATTCAGGGACTTCATGGGAAGGTTCACAGTCATTGTGCATCCTTGCCAATATCTCTCAGTTGACAATAAAACACAACTGAAAGGCTTTGGTTTATTCACTGGCTGCAAACAGAAATTTTCTGAATGTCCTCTGGAGTCTTATACAAGTCTCCTCTGGTATTATGCTGGAAAAAAAAATCTGACTCCATTTATTTTACTATTGCTTGAAAATCTGAAATAATTTTTCCTTGACAGCTATCCAAGAAAATAGGGACAGTATTTTGCACAATAACAGTAATGCCACCAGTGGTTTCAAATGTAGTAGACTCAAAAATCCCTCTCTTATTACAATTATAGATACATCATCCAGTTAGTATCCTATAAATTTGGATCATAAAAATATGCTCAATACACATGCCAAAATACTTTCTTTAGAAGGTATTTAGACAAGTTCTTGATTACAAACAAGAAAAAAGAAGAAAAGGAAGGAAGGAAGAATAAAAGCAAGCAAGGAAGGAAAGAGAAAAAAATCAAATAATTGAAGGGGAAGGGAAAAAGAAATTAAATAATTGGTGATAACACTAGGTTTTATGCTTTTGGTCTTAGCACTGTGAAAAAAAGGTAGAATATTGAACCAGAAAACACCGAATTTATATCTACAATTTCATTGACATGTATTCCATATCTACTGTAATAGCAATTAACATATTTTTCACTGATATAATTTTCAAGAGATTTTGACTCATTAAGATGGGTAATTAGCACTCGATATTAATAAGTATATTTGTAATCCAGGTATAAGTAATTGCAACAGTCAGTTAACTTAATAATCACTCCATTCTGCACAAGTCTCCAGATTTTCTGAGCACATAACTTTGGAAGAGCACTTTAGAAAATAAATTTCTCATTTCTAGTAGCCTAAGTGACTCTCACAGAGGTGCAATTTTTAAAGAGTGTACATAGAATCAATTAAGACGTGCAGAATTAGTAAGGTGTATGATTTTAGTTCTAACGATGCATGAAAATAATTTTGGGCATTTGTTTGATAAATGTTTCACAAATGGATTTAAATGCCTTATATACTTTTTAAAAACACATTATTAAGCAAAGACTAAAAAAAGGTTTTCACAAACTTTTAAAGAGGAAAGTGTCACCTTCCAAACCTTATTTTTAGATACTCTGAGTATGAGTCACTGCTGAATTTTGCATCCAAAACCTCATGAGCAAAATTGGCTATAAATTTCATCTTATTTTTCTTATCTTTTCTCTTTCAGAAATATTTTTGAATGGTTCCCAAGTTATTCTTGTCTAAATCCACCATTCTCCTGTACATATTCTGCCTCACAAAATAAATTATAAATATGGTTGACAAATAATGGCATCTATTTTTAACTCAGCCCTAATCAATACTGAAATTGTGTTACCATCACTGAATGGGCACCTGCTTACTAGTATTGTGGTGTCAGTGGCATTGCTTATATTTATTAAGCACCACTACTGTCCAGGAACTCTGCTGGGGGCACAGAGGCAGGGTGGAAAAATCCTAGGATATAGACTAGTCAGATAGACTTGGATTCTGAAGTTAGCTTCTTCATTTACTAGCTGTGAGCATGTTAAGTCACTGGGGTTTTCTTGAGATTTTTTGAAACTTAGTTTCCTTATCTTTAACATATTTTAAATTCTACACAGATAGGAGAGTCTGAAGATAAATAAAATGTACTACTTAAAGTGTTTTCCATGAAGTAAATATTCAAATATTAGTTCTAGCTCATTCCTGCTTTCTACTTTTTCTCGATTTTATCAGTTTCTTTCTTTTTCGTGATTATATTGCAGAGGTTTATAGATTTTCTCACTTTCTACTTATATACTTTTTATGAACTCAAGAAAAGCCAGAGAATGTTCATTCTATCTCAAGGACTTTGCTCTTAAAGAGATTTCTACATTTCCTCCTGAATTGTCACTACTGTGGTTCTGTGGTCTACATTGAATGTTTGTTTGTTTTAATTTTGCACTTTCCACACTCCATGTGTTTCTTTGCAGCATGAAGTTTTCCTCTATTCCACTTTTTTTCTATGCTCCACATTTATGCTGAATAAAGTACCTTTTTGGAATTCATCTTCTACTTATCAAAGTGTTTTAGGCCATATAATCTAAGGAAAATCCCATGGCTTCCTAGTCAATGGAATTGACTAGCACTGCTTTCTTGTTCTAGTGATTCCCCTGACTACATAGAAAAACTATGTTTGGCTTTTTCCTATTCCCTTCTGTGGGATGCGAGTTGTAGCTAATTTTTAGAACATGTTTTCCCCAATGGAACAATACAGTAAACATTTTTAAGGGTTGTAAAATGTGCCTTAACATTTTTTTTTTTTTTTTTTTTTTTGAGACGGAGTCTCGCTCTGTCGCCCAGGCTGGAGTGCAGTGGCGGGATCTCGGCTCACTGCAAGCTCCGCCTCCCGGGTTCACGCCATTCTCCTGCCTCAGCCTCCCAAGTAGCTGGGACTACAGGCGCCCGCCACTACGCCCGGCTAATTTTTTGTATTTTTAGTAGAGACGAGGTTTCACCGTTTTAGCCGGGATGGTCTCGATCTCCTGACCTCGTGATCCGCCCGCCTCGGCCTCCCAAAGTGCTGGGATTACAGGCGTGAGCCACCGCGCCCGGCCGTGCCTTAACATTTTTAATGGCTATGTATATATGATGAGTAATAATTAAGACCATCTTGATCTATAAAACTTTCTATTATTTGCTATTACAAACATCACTAAATGTCTGTTAAGCTTATGCTAAATGTTTGCACATATTTAAGAATGTTAGTTGTCAATTGAGAAAGTTCTCCTTTATTAAGGATATTTATCTTATTTAATATATTTTCAAATTTTTTTCCAGATTGTCTTTTGTCTCCTTGGTTGATTTTGTCTTTGCTGTTTTTGTGATTTGTTTTATTTCATGTACTCCTGTGGCAAATGCTTTTTATTCCTGTCTGTCAATATTTTCTGTAATATTCAATTTTGGAATACCATTAATATCCTTCTTAATTAGGATTATTTAAATTTTTATCACATATAGAGTTCTAGTAATATCATAGTTTAATTTTTAAAAATTATTTAAATATTAAGTCTACCCAAATTAATTTCATTGTATAGTATTAAGTGGAATCCTAAGTCTCCATGTATTAAGAAAAGCATTTACTATTTTAAATTATCACACTGATTTCAAATGTAGCTTTGAGCAAGTGTGCATGTATGTGTGTATATATGTGTTTGTGTTCACATAAATATATTTCTCCTTTCAAATTGCTATGTTCTATTTATCTATTTTTTATGCTAATTCTATATCACTTAATTATTATACTTTTTAAATAATTGTTATATATAAACACACTTTACCTCATTAGTATTCATTTTCAACTTTGTCTTCACTATATTCCTGTGTTTTTATTTAGCTATTATATTTGAGAAAATTGATATTTTCACAGTAGTTATACTGTATCTTTCCATTTCCTCAAGTTCTCAGTATTCTTATGTTTTTCTTCATTTAGTTTTAAGTTAATTTAATTTTTTCCTATGGCGACTTTTAAAATTTCCTTCTTAGTACTTATTGTTATTATATGGAAAACTATGAATTGTGAACACATGCAGTTATTTTACATCTATCAGGAGTCTGAATCCACAGTCAAATTTGTAATAGCTATGACAAATGTATTATACTGCCTTTCTTCACCCTTGCATAACATTGCAGACCAGCTTCCTCTAAACAGGGAAAACCTGACCCAAAACAACATCTATGTTTTCGCTACAGTTTCAACTCAAATATAAAAGCAAAAAAACAAAACTTTAAACCTAAACACATTTTGATTTTGAGCAAATTATCTGATCTTTCCATGCTTCAGATGCTTCATCTGGAAAAGAACTTAAGGAAAGTACTGAATTCTTAGTTTATTTTGTTGCGAAGATTAAAAGGGTCGTAAAGCAAAGCACATACATTTAAATGTCAATCATTGTTAATTTTGACATTGATATTATTATTAATATTGTTAAGAAAGTCAGAGGTCATTTTTATTTTCTGTTTAATTGTCCATTTGAATTCATTAAAACTTTTAATTTCAGGAGACAGAAACCTAACTCTCATAACCTCCACTTGAAAAAGCCATGGGGAATGAGATCAATAGCTTTAGTAAGATGCTCATCAATTATGTACAGAGGACAATGATCATAAAACAAGTTGGTAGCTTTTATTGGAACAATATTTTATTCATTTTTAAAATTATATAAAAATATAAATATATACTTAATTGTATATAAATATAAAATTATGTATTATATAAATAACTTATTTCAGATATTTATCTTTTACAACTTTCTACTTGTCTTCTGGTATGCAATGTGCTTTTTTTCTAATCTGCTGAATTGAATTCTTAATTCACTTATTTTAATTATTTTTGAGATTAAAGATATTTAAAACTAAAATTTGAATTTTTTGAATACGGCTATTATGGCAACTCATATGTTTAGATATGAAGAGTTCTCTATACCATTATCACCATAATAAGCTGAAATTGTAGTCATAATTTTCAGTTTGAAGGAAGAAATGTTTAGGAGCCTAACTTTTTAAAATTTTTAGTCATTTAAAAAGTAATAAGCTGTTATTTCCAAATTTTGTTGAATTCCTATCATAAATTTTGTCTACAACATCAATCTCTGGAAATATATTGGGGTATTGTGGCATGCCAAATTATTACCCAATGTTCCATCTGTAAACATATATTTAGCATTTTTAAAATACATTTTTTAAATTAAAAATTTTAAAATATCAAATTTGTTCAGAATTCTAGTTATTCTGTAGCTTTCTGGGAATTATTTGAATTTGAGCCTTGCAAGCTTATGACAAGTCAAATAAACTTCCTTATCTTTGTGCCATCCCTCTTTGAAGGAAAGTTCTTTTGATATGATAATATCTGCTTTAAATGGCCACTCACCAGCCTACACAGAAAATAGTCATTACAAACTGCATTACCTCCACATCATGACAACGAAAACTCTAAACTCCTTATAATTGTGTAAAAGATAATAAATAGCTATAAGTTTTCTGTCTCAAGAATTGTCAGTCTTCATGTTAATCTCTACATGTGTTTTTCCTAACACTCTGAAATCCATATTATATAGTCAACATTTTACAAGTGGGATAAATACTCTTATAAGTATTGTGTCATAATATGTGCTAATTCCATATGATTAATCAGGTTGCTTATATTCATCCTCAGTCTAGCAATACAATTTGTGACTCAGAAACAAAACAACAACAAAAAAAGTAGCTGCTAATTATATAAAATTGAAACTAGAAAATGTTAGATAAACTCAAAACATGTTGTTGATATCCTGGGCTAAGCAATTTTAGTATTAATTATTTACCTTAAGTTATTATTACTATAAAACATATAAATCTAAAATAATAAAATCAGTGGTGAACAATTCAGCCTTCTGCTTTATTTTAACAAGTCATCAATCACATTTCTTCTTTCTTAAAAATGATAGTTTTCCTATTGGTGTTTGTGGATAATTACTATAAATGACTTAATATTACATGATTTAATAGTTTCATGATTTATGATTTAATATTTTGAGTAGTTAGGAAGTTACAGATAGTAGTTAACCAACTAATATACCATCAAAGGGCTTTAAGTAGACATTGGCATTCTAAAGCTGACTGTCCAGATATAAATGCTTGTCTAGCTTACTGTCTCTATTCTACTACATGTATTTTTTGGTTTATGTATTTACTTTCTTCCCTTCCTCTCATTTTTCTTTTTCTGTCATCAGTTCTTTCTCCTTCATTCTTCCCTATGGAGTCAAACTTTGATGTATTTACTGAGGAAATTGTTATATTTTTCATTATTTTTAAAAATAGGTGAGTGGAAAGAAGTTGATATTTTCTTCTATAAAGAGGACCCAAAAAAGAGTTATCATTAGATGTCATTTTCTGTAAATCATTGATTCTCTACAATCTCTATTAAGGAGAAAGTAATTAATATTCACTTTGCTATACCACCCCTTTTTGCATTTAAGTCCATTTTGATGGAAATTCTTTCAAACTCAGCTAAATTTTAGCAAAGTATTTTTGTGCTCTCCAAAATTCTTACAGTTGTTTTTCCTGTGCTATATAGTTAAGAATCATATTTTTCTCATTGTATTCATCAAATTATTCTCCCTTTTGTGCAGATACTTTCCAGCTAGACTTAGGTAACAGTTGACAAGAAGCACAGCCTATAAAATCCTTTTATACAAGGCTTGAGTTGCTGTTACAATTGCTTCTTTGTTTCAAGACCTCCATGATTCCAGGTTTGCTCCTCCCCTTTTTCTGTATCATTAAACATTACCTTTCCTTGTAAAAATTGTTTACAGTTACCCTCAGGAGGTACTCTAATAATTTTTAATACTAAAGGTTACTGTCGGGAGAAATTGTTTCATAGGTAACAAAATATACGCTGAGCTCCCATTGTTATGTGAAAAATATTCCTTTTTATTGTCCTCATATTTTTTCCTCAAATGCACTACAAATTTCCTTTATATCATATCATTATAGAGCAGCTTCTTTGATGCAGTTGACAGAATGAAATAAAAATCTTTTATATCTACAGATAGTTTTTGCCTAAATTCAACTAAAGTAGTATTTCTTTATTAAATAATGCTTAAGATATTTTAATTAAAATATTTTAATATAATATGCTTCTATGTTTTGTGTAATTGCAACTGTATCACTCATTTCAGGAATCATAGTAAAATATTAAAATTATAGAACTATAGTTCCTTAATATAGAATACAGTATATTAAAACTCTTTTTTAATATACTTCTTAAAGTATGCCTTTATTGTAATGCCATTCATGCATCTAGAAATTTTGCTTTTTAGAAATGATTTTATATTCATTACCAAAGCTTAATCTAGACACACTGGGAAACCTATGTAAATGTGATTTAAGTTTAATAATTGATTGGATAACTTTATTAGGTATATCCCTAAGGATCAAGGGCAAGATGTATAAGGTAATTTTTAAAAACTTAATTATTATTCCTATTTTTTCCAATTGAATTTTTTTGTATCAGGTAGTGTGTCAAATTTTCCAGTAGTATATGCTGTATAAATATCTAACATAAAGCTGTCAGTCTTGTTTTTTGCTTCTATGATAGACTCTATTATCTGTGAGACATTCTCATGGGCTACTATAAAGATAAGGTAAATTTCGGATTGAGTGTAATTTCTCTTCACTATCTGTAACTTTTTCTCATAACTGAGTTACAATTCACCATAATATGTGGTTATGCATATGCAGTTGAGTTGTCCTAGGATATCTCATAAATTCTTCTAGAGTATCCTAAGTACTCAGTTACGTATTCTAAAGTTCCTTTCAGAACTGAGTCTCTTCACTACAACCAACTGAACAGGTATATTGGAAACTACTTGAAAATCCTCCTACAAAATTGGACAAATTGGATCTATTTGTGGTTTTGCTTGCTGATGTACAAATTGACAGTGGCAGATGCCTAGGGATTCATTGAGGTGGGAGTGTACCACGGCAGAAATAGATTGCTCATTTGCTTGATGGATAGACATAGAAAAGCAAGCAGTGTACAAAGATTTCCCTAAAGGTGACTGTTGTTTATGGCTGTGGGTGTGAATGGAGGAATCACTTTGTCTGGCTTAGTGACTTGGCTGCTGAATTGGAAGCAATAACTGCTATGCTGGGCAGAAGATTTAGAGATGCCGTGTACCCTCTGCTTCTGCTCTTTTAACCAAGAAAGAATCCATTGAACCCAGAACAAAATACAAATTTACATTTCTGTAGTGACAATATGGCATAAATTAGGTCACCTGAGAAATGGAAAGTTTTCTATTAAATGTGTAATAATAAATATCTTCGTGCCATAATGATAGTTTCCTATCCTTCTATTAAGTTTGGCTTCACCTTGAAGGCTTTCAAGGCATTTCTCCATGAAAGTTCTGCCACAAATCTATGAGTATTATAAATAGCTAATCTTAAGGAATCAATGTTTCTCATAAGGGCTACTTAATGGCTTAGAAATCATAGTAGTGGTATCACTTGACTCAGATATGATTGCTTACAAGATATAGACTCCATTTGGATTCAACTGGACTAATTTTAATATAGATCTGTTCTACCAGTTCCTAGTTACTCAGGAAATGTAGTAATGTGTGCTTTATACTGCATACAAGGAGCTATCAATCCATCTGTCTTTTAAAAATTTGGAACATTAGAAAAATAAATTCTATCTCATCTTCTCATAAAATTCTAGCCAACTCTTGATTTAGCAGTTTTAGATCTCTTGAGATGAAAAGATTTTCAAGACTTCATTAAATGTACAAAATAATTGATAAAATTTTACTATTTCAAATGTTATTTTTCCAAAAGTATTTCAAATTTTGTTGTTATTACATACCATTCCCTTTTTCCACTGATGATTCGGTTAATTAATTTCTACTACCACCCTCTAAAAATGAATAATTGCTTGATAGATGCCCTGAAGCAATTTGTGCACGCCTTTTAATACCATATATTTTATTGAATACATGGTCCCTGGATTTTCTATTATTCAAATTATGTACATACATACCTTTTAGGCACTAAAGTGCTGATAATTTATAGGTATAATTTTAAGTTAGATTTTATATATGACAACTCTATATGTGAAAGTGGGAAATGCATTGAGTTACAAAATTTACAGTTAACTTGTTCCAGTCAGGCTAGTAATGGAAGTAAGGAATATTTCATTTATATATATCAAAAATGAGATAATTATATGTTTTATATTTTATTAAATAATAGACTAATAAAATAGTATCCTATAAAAAGAGATAAAACACTATTCTTTTCTTGAAAAATGTGTTTTGTGAAGGTTTCAGATAAGCTCTTCTTTGCATAGCTATAGATGTTAATAAAAATGTTTTTAGTATAAGAAAACTAATGCCTTTTTCTTTAGGGTTTATATATATATTATGATATATGTATACATGAGATATGCATATATTCTTGTGTATGTGTTTCCAAATAACGAGAAAATTAGCCAGGTGCATACCTATTGTCTAAACATTTTACTATTGAATTAAAAATCCTATTGTTAAACTATGAGAATACATGTTTTCACTTTGTGTTTTACTGCAAACTATTCTATAGAACTTCAAATTATGAAACTATAATCCAGTGCAAGAAACCAACGTCATCTGTATTGACAGAATTACATCAAGTGTAGAATTCAACTTAAATTAAGGTGAACTGTAAACTGTTGAGTGGTGAGGAAGGTGCCTGTGATATCACTGTATTCCTCAAAATGTGGTTATACACAATAAGCACGTAATACATATTTTTATGAACATATTGAATTTTGGATGATATTATGCATCTTTTCTTCTGCAATAACCCATGTGATAGTAAATCTAAAGGGAAAGGTTAAAACAATTCACCAAATATGCCATGAAAATAAACTATGTTTGAATAAGACACTTCAAGTAGCATGTAAGCCATTGGTATAAATATCTAATACAGTTTGGCTCTGTGTTCCCACCCACATCTCAGCTGGAATTATAATCCCCATGTGTCAGAGGAGGGGCATGGTGGGAGACTTATTTATAATATCTATATAATATTTAATATATATTTATATTTTATTTGATTTATTTAAATTTAATTTATTTAATGTTATATATCTCATATACATATTTATAATTATGGGAATGGATTTTTCCCTTGTTTTTCTTGTGATGGTGAGTAAGTTCTCATGAGAGCTGATGGTTTTAAAGTGTGGCAGCTCCCCTCTCACTCTCTTTCCCCTGCCCCCATGTAAGATGTGCTTTGCTTCCCCTTTGCCTTCTGCCGTGATTGTAAGTTTCCTGAAGCCTCTCCAGCCATATGGAACTGTAAGTCAATTAAACCTCTTTCCCTTACTAATTACCCAGTCTAAGGTAGTCTTTTATAGCAGTGTGAAAATAGACTAATAGAGAAAATTGGTACTGGAATTTGGGGGCACTGCTATGAAGACACCTGAAAATGAGGAAGTGACTTTGAAACTGGGTAACAGGCAGAGGCTGGAACAGTTTGGAGGGCTCACAAGAAGACAGAAAGATGTGAGAAAGTTTGGAACTTCCTAGAGACTTGTTGAATGATTTTGACCAAAATGCTCATAGTGATATAGACAATGAGGTCCAGGCTGGGGTGGTCTCAGATGGAGATGAGGAACTTATTGGGAACTAGAGCAAAGGTCACTCTTGCTATGCTTTAGCAAAGAGACTGGCAGCATTGTTCCCCTGCCCTAGAGATCTGTGGAACTTTGAACTTGAGAGAGTTGATTTAGGGTATCTGGCAGAAGAAGCTTCTAAGCCGCAAAACATTCAAGATGCGACCTGGCTTTTTCCTAAAGCATACAGTCATATGCTTTCATAAGCATGCCAACTCAAAAAGAGATGGTCTGAAATTGGAATGTATGTTTAAAAGGGAAGCAGAGCATAAAAGTTTATAAAAATTTACAGCTTGACCATGTGGAAGAAAAGAAAAACTGATTTTCTTCCTTTTAAAAATTTAATTTAATTTTAAATTCTGGGATACATGAGTAGGACATGCAGGTTTGTTATATAGGTAAATGTGTGCCATGGTGGTTTGCTGCACCTATCAATGCATCACCTAGGTATTAAGCCTCATGTGCATTAGCTAATTTTCCTGATGCTCTCCCTCCCTCCACCCCCCAACAGGCCCCAGTGTGTGTTGTTTCCCTCCTTGTGTCCATGTGTTCTCATTGTTCAGCTCCCAATTATAAGTGAGAACATGTAGTGTTTGGCTTTCTCTTCCTGTGTTAGTTTGCTTAGGATATGGCTTCCAGCTCCATCTCTGTTGCTGCAAAGGACATGATCTCATTCCAGTTTTTTGGCTGCATAGTATTCCATGGTTTTTACGTACCACATTTTCTTTATCCAGTTTATCACTGATGGGCATTTGGGTTGATTCCACGTCTTTGCTATTGTGAATTGTGCTGCAATGAACATATGCATGCATGTGTTTTTATACTAGAATGGTTTATATACCATTGGGTATATGCCCAGTAATGGGATTGGTGGGTCAAATGGTATTTCTGGTTCTAGGTCTTCGAGGAATCACCACACTGTCTTCCATAGTGTTTGAACTAATTTACATTCCCACCAACAGTGTAAAAGCATTCCTATTTCTCCATAGCCTCACCAGCATCTGTTGTTTCTTGACTTTTTAATAATCACCATTCTGACTGGTGTGAGATGGTATCTCATTGTGGTTTTGATTGGCAATTCTTTAATGATCAGTGATGTTGAGCTTTTATTCATGTTTTTTGGCCACATAAAGGTTTTCTTTTGACAAGCTTCTCTTCATATCGTTTACCCAGTTTTTAATGGGGTTGTTTGTATTTTTCTTGTAAGTTTGTTTAGGTTCCTTGTAGATTCTGGATATTAGACCTTTTTCAGATGGATAGATTGCAAAAATTTTCTCCCATTCTGTAGGTTGTCTGTTCACTCTGATGATAGTTTCTTTTGCTGTGCAGAAACTCTTCAGTTTGATTAGATACCATTTGTCAGTTTTTGCTTTTGTTGCAATTGCTTTTGATGTTTTTGTCATAAAAATCTTTACCTGTGCCTAAGTCCTGGAGAGTATTGCCTAGATTTTCTTCTAGAATTTTTATAGTTTGGGGTTTCACATTTAAGTCTTTAATCCATCTTGAGTTAATTTTTGTATAGGTGTAAGAAAGGGGTCCAGTTTCAATTTTCTCATATGGCTAGCCAGTTTTCTCAGCACCATTTACTATATAGAGAATCCTTTCCCCATTGCTTGTTTTTGTCAGGTTTGTTGATGATCAGATGGTCATAGACGTGTGGTCTTGTGGTCTTATATCTGAGTTCTCTATTCTGTTCCATTCGTCTGTGTGTGTGTGTTTATGCCAGTACTATGCTGTTTTGGTTACTGTAGCCTTTAAGTATAGTTTGAAGTCAAGTATCACGATGCCACCATCATTGTTCTTTTTGCTTAGGATTATCTTGGCTATATGGGCTCTTTTTTGGTTCCATAGCAATTTTAAAGTAGTTTTTTCTAATTCTGTGAAGAATGTTAAGGTAGTTTAATGAGAATACATTGGATCTATAAATTACTTTGGACAGCATGGCTATTTTCGTGATATTTATTCTTCCTATCCATGAGTGTGGAATGGTTTTTCATTTGTTTGTGTCCTCTCTTATTTCCTTGAGCAGTGGTTTGTAGTTCTTGAAGAGGTCCTTCACTTCCCTTGTTCACTGTATTCCTAGGTATTGTATTCTCTCTGTAGCAATTGTGAATGTGAATTCATTCTTACTTTGTCTCTCTGCTTGTCTGTTGCTGGTGTATAGGTATGCTTGTGGTTTTTGCACATTGATTTTGTATCCTGTGACACTGCTGAAGTTGCTTATCAGCTTAAGGACCTTATGGGCTCAGATGATGGGGTTTTGTAGATATAGGATCATGTCATCTGTAAACAGAGACGGTTTGACTTCCTGTCTTCCTATTTAAATATGCTTTACTTATTTCTCTTGCCTAATTGCCCTGGCCAGAACTTCCAATATTATGTTGAATAGGAGTGGTGAGAGAGGGCATCCTTGTCTTGTGCTGGCTTTCAAGGGGAATGCTTCCAGCTTTTGCCCATTTAGTATGATATTGGTTGCGGGTGTGTAATAAATGGCTGATTATTTTGAGGTATGTTCTATCAATACCTAGTTTATTGAGAGTTTTTAATATGAAGGGATGTTGAATTTTATCGAAGGCATTTTCCACATCTCTTGAGATAATTATGTGCTCTTTGTCTTTAGATCTGCTTATGTGATCAATTACATTTATTGATTTGCATATGTTGAACCAGCTTTGCATCCCAGGGATGAAGTCAGCTTGTTCGTGGTGCACAAGCTTTTTGATGTGCTGCTGGATTCAGTTTGCCAGTAATTTACTGAGGAGTTTTACATCACTGTTCATCAGGGATATTGGTCTGAAGTTTTCTTTCCCTGTTGTGTCTCTGCCAGGTTTTGGTATCAGGATGATGCTGGTCTCATAAAATGAGTTAGAGATTAGAACTTTTCGTCCTTTTCAATTGTTTGGGACAGTTTTAGAAGAAATGGCACCAGCTCCTCTTTGTACCTCTGGTAGAATTCAGCTGTAAATTCACCTGGTCCTGAGATTTTTTTTGGTTGACAGACTATTTATTACTGCCTCAATTTGAGAACTTGTTATTGGTCTATTCAGAGATTCAACTTCTTGCTGGTTTAGTCTTGGGAGGGTGAATGTGTCCAGGAATTTATCCATTTCTTCTAGGTTTTCTGGTTTGTTTGCATGAGGTGTTTATAATATTCTCTGATGGCTGTTTATATTTCTGTGGGGTCAGTGGTGACATTCCCTTTATCATTTTTATTTTTGTATTTGATTCTTCTCTCTTATTAGTCTAGCTAGCGGTCTATCTATTTTGTTATTTTTTTCAAAAAACCAGCTCCTGGATTCATTGTTTTTTGTTTTATTTTTGTTTTTGTTTTGAACCATGAAAAACTGATTTTCTAGGGAGAAAATAAAGCTACCTGCTGAAGAAATTTGAGTAAGAGAAGCTGAGTGTAAATAGTCAAGACAATGGGGAGAATTTCTCCAGAGCATTTCAGAGATCTTCACGGCAGCTCCTCTCATCATAGTCCTGGAAGCCTAGTAGGAAAAAATGGTTTCTTGGGCCAGGTCCCACTGCTCTATGCAGCCTTGAGACATGGTACCCTGCATCCCAGGTGCTCCAGCTCCAGCCATCGCTAAAAGGGTCCCAGGTACAGCTTGGGCCATTGCTTTGGAGGGTGTAAGCCCTAAGCCTTGGCAGCTTCCATGAGGTATTTGGCCTGCAGGTTGCCAGAAGACAAGAGTTGAACTTTGGGAGCCTCTGCCTAGATTTCAGAGGATATATGGAAATGTCTGGATGCAGAAGTCTGCTGCAGAAGCAGAACCCTCATGGTGAACCTCTATTAGGGCAATGCAGATGGGAAATGTGGGGTTGGGACCCTCACACAGAGTTCACAACTGGGCACTGCCTAGTGGAGCTGTGAGAAGAGGACCACTGTCCCCCAGATTCCAGAATGGTAGATCCACTGACAGCTTGCACTGTGTGCCTGGAAAAGCTGCAGGTACTGAATGTCAGCCTGTGAAAGCAGCTGAGGGGGCTGTACCCTGCAGAGCCACATGAGTGGAGCTGCCTAAGGCTTCATGAGCTGACCTTTTGCATCAGCATGCCTTGAATGTGAGACATGGAGTCAAAGGAGATTATTTCCAGACTTTAAGATTTTATGCCTACCCCATTGGGTTTTGGATTTGCATGGGGACTGTGGCCCCTTTGTTTTGATAAATTTCTCCCATTTAGAACGGAAACATTTCCCCAATACCTGTATCCCCACTGTATCTTAGAAGTAACTAACTTGTTTTTTATTTTACAGGCTCATAGATTGAAGGGACTTGCCTTGTCTCAGGTGAGACTTTGGACTTGGACTTTCAAATTAATGCTGAAATGAGTTAAGACTTTGGGGGACCGTTGGAAGGAATGATTGGTTTTGAAATGTGAAAATGACAGGAGATTTGGGAATGGCCAAGAGTGGAATAATATGGGTTGGCTCTGTGTCCCCACACAAATCTCATCTCTAATTATAATCCCCACGTGTCAGGGGATGGACTTGGTGGGAGATTACTGAATCATGAGAGTAGATTTCTCCCTTGCTATTCTTGTGATAGTGAGTGAGCTCTCATGAGAGCTGATGGTTTTAAAATGTGTCACTTACCCTCTCACTCTCTCTCTCTCCTGCCACTATGTAAGATATGCCTTGCTTCCCCTTCACCTCTGCCATGATTATAAGTTTTCTCAAACCTTTCCAGCCACGCAGAACTGTGAGTCAGTTAAATCTCTTTCCTCTATAAATTACCCATTCTCAGGTAATTCTTTATAGCAGTGTGAAAACAGATAAATACAATATCTCATACAGGAAACAGAAGCAGAGCTTTCTACTGCAATCCCTTTTCCCAAAGCAGGAAGTAAGTCTATTCAGCCTGAGGAGTCAAGTCTGTCAATTACTTAGCTATTGTTCCAAATGTATATTCTCTACTTCTTTTCATCTTGTTGAATTATTGTATAGCATTAATATGAGTTGATTCATTATTTTAAAAAGGAGACATTCTCAAGGAATTAAAAGATCTTCCCAAATGTGTAAAATTTCTGATACATAACTGTAAAGCAAGTGATGTCCACCTGGATTACTTTTCAAATGCATGTAGAAGGACAGAGAATAAATCAGATTGAATCTTTTCAATTAAATCTTTTAGCCACAGCAGAACTCAGGTCTATGAGTGATAGAAGGCCAATTCCAATTAGTACCTAAAGCAGATTTTTCCAAAATCTCTTCAGCAACCTTATTTGTAAAGGAGAGTCATTTAAGGGAAATAATTCACCATATTTTCACCATTAAGAGAAAGAAAGAAAGTATCTAGTGTCTGGGCCAAATGTTTTCTTTGAGAGTTTTGGTAACTTGCCACCCCATAAGGTAGGAAAAGTTGTCTTTGCCAAGAAATGGTCACAGCATTATGTTACAAACCACTCATTGGAAAGAGGCTAGCATCAGTGAAGGTTTGGCCTTAGGGCTAAGGCTTATTCTCATCCTTTATAGTAACGTAACTCAACTGTGCAGAACCACTTTTTATTTAGCTCTGTATGACATTAAACATAGATCTTAGATAACTTTCATCTTTAGACACGGTAAGAAGGGGCAGTCAAATAAACGTTTAGACTGACTAATGCGCTTGACAGACTCGGAGACTTCATAGTCAGCAGGGGAGTTACTTTGCCAAAAATCAAATGAATCAAAGAACTTGCCAAGGAACCAGCTAGCAGGGAGGGGGTTTGTGGGCAGCCGCCATAGAGCCCAAGTCTGCTCCTAGAAAATCTGTTCAAGAGCTTGGCATCTGGGTGTTAGCTTGCCAGCTGCCAAGTGTGTGGCCACAGCTGTTAGTTTGGAGGGAGAAGCTGAAAGTACACAAGGGCAAAAGGGAAGTGTGGTCAAGAACACAAGAGACAACAACGCCAAATAGGTCTTAAAGGCAAAGAGGTTTGTTTTCTTGCTGTCTTAATATTTGACAACTTTTGAGAAGAGGTGGTCAGGCTTTTTCAAGTTTTTATAATGTACTATAGAGAAAAAAGCACACAATTGAAACGAATTCTCCAATAGTCTTTGAAAATAACACCCGTGGTATTTTAGCCAATCCAAAACTGTGTAGCAGGCAAAGATAGTTTGGCTGCTCTTTCTCTTTTTCTATAATCACAAAGGCTCTGGCTAATGTAATGTAAACCTATAGCAGTTCAATGATCCCTTCCAGTGCTGTGCTTATACTTTTCCTCTGAGGTTAAGCCCTAGAAGATAAGCCTTTTTCCTTATGTCATTCATACAGTCAAAATCAATCCTTCAGAAGCTTCATTTTTACATATCTATTTTCTGTTCTAGAATTGTTACACAATAAGGTATATTATTATTATTGTTAAGGGTTTTATATTAACAAAAGCATCTGCCTATTTCTGGGTCTGTCAATACCCTTGAGTTTTGAAGGAAAATATAATAAAATGTGGATTACTAAATCCAAAGTAGCCCCCTCTGTAATGTTTAAGGCAATAAAGATCAGAATCGGACTCCCTTTGGAAACCCTTAATGATGTGTAGGAGCTTAAAATGTGTAGCAGATTTATCAGATTCTATTGCCAGACTTTCCTTCATTAGGTACCATGTCATCTGAAAATAATCTGAATATCTTGGAGACATTCACACTTTGGGTTCTCCTCTTAAAATGTGGTGAAGGTAACTATTCATCTAAAGAGTTCAGAAAAATCTAAGTTCACATGAGAAAGACAAGATCCAAAGGCAGATAATCCTGTCTAGCTTAATCAAGGACACCCACCTCGGCCATTCAGGAACACCATGATCAAAAACTTTCCCATAATGCCTTAGGAGACAACACACTCTCTTCTTTATAATGTTCTTTGTGAATATTTAAGCTAATATTTAAGAGCAATGTTTATTTTTAATAAAAGTACATTTAGTTACTACTTGCTACTTTAGGCCCATCATTTTTTCAACTTGCTAAAGATTTTTTTCCAGATGGACGTCTGTACTTTTAGTTATTTTAAAAAGCAAATTTACCTCTGAGAACAAGGAAAAATTAAATTAATAGGGTATTTGGGGAAGTTCAGATAGTCTAGAGAGTGAGGTAAGGGTACAAGTCTCACAGGAAGATTAAAATAGTTTTGTTCTTCATCTGCTTAAGTAAAAAATAACAACAATAATTTACTGTGTACCTAGAATGCACAAAGCACTACGGTTACCAAAATGGATAAGGCACTTCCTTTCCTTGATGTAATAAGTACTATTTATGCAAAAATTATAATAATAAGCTAGACTTGTATAGACACATGCAAAGCTTTTTTTTTTTTTCTTTGACAGAATCTCACTCTGTTGCCCAGTTGGAGTGCAGTGGTGCAATCTTGGCTCACTGCAATCTCTGCCTCCAGGGTTCATGCTATTCTCGTGCCTCAGCCTCCCAACTAGCTGGAATTACATGCGTGCACCACCACACCTGGCTAATTTTTGTGTTTTAGTAGAGATAAGTTTTCACCATGTTGTCCAGGCTGATCTGGCATTCCTGTCCTCAAGCCATCCGCCCACCTCAGCCTCCCAAAGTGCTGGAATTACAAGTGTGAATCACCACACAGGCAGGAGCCACTGCACCTGGCCACACAAAGCATGTTTAAGTGAGGTTCTCATTTGAGGCTTAGAGTTATCCAGCAATCTGGATACTAATTCCATTTAGCCTGACATTAAATTTCATAAATCTATTTTATTGATGAAAATGAATTATAATTGTAAATCAGCCTTAATACAGTAATACCATACATATCATACATCTTATGCCCATAAAGTGGTTTCATGGTGATAATTTAGGTGTGTTATTCTCAATTTGTTTGTAGCCCTGTATCAAATATCATTTCTTTTTATGCCATATTAATGTTCAGATCCCAATTTACTCAGCATTTTGAATGCAACAATATTTTAAGAAAAACATTGTGTATATTCTCTTTCCCCACCCGCTGCCCCCACCTCTACTTTTAAACTATGCATTAGCCCATTAAGCATTAAAAATATTTATTTGTCAAAGGGGAGATTAGGAGTTGTTAAAGAATGAAGGCATAGAGAAAGATGAGGTAATAGTTCACTTCTGGAATATGAAAACAGAAATTTGAAATAAGAAAACAGATTATTATCTTGACAAAGGAATGCCTAACAAAATTATTTTTCTTTTTTTTTTTTAGTTTGCCAAGGTCCGAGTCTAAAAGATAAGGTTTATTGAATTCCTCTATTAAAAACAACCCATTTTGCTTCTAATAGCAAATTAAGGAAACACACTGCTCAATGCTAGAGGCAGATAGCAAATATTATATAGGCAGTGATAATTACAGATATCTAACAGTGGTTACAGCACAGTCTCTGCTTATTCAGAGTAGACACTGGCCATTCCAGGCAGCCCTAGACTGTACTTGCTAAGTCAGAATTAATTCTTTTGTTTCTGGATGACAAGTAAATCCAATGGGTGTCAAAGAGAGGACTGGATGTTTGGGTGGCTTATGGGCTTTGGGAATATCACAGAAATGGCTATTTGTCAAACTGTATGGAAGTATTTCAATATTTTATCAACTGCTTGATCATACTGTTGCGTGCCATTTGAAGGGAAGAAATGTTATACATATTAAATAAATGAATAAGATAATCTACTGCTTTGATGAAAATAAAACATAGAAATGGCATGAGAGACTAATCATGAGCTTTAGATTTGAGTCTCTAAATTGGTGACATTTAAATTGAAATCTGGATGACAAGAAGGAAAGAACACTGCAAAACTGTTGGGAAGAACACTTTAGGGGATGTGGCCAGCAGGTATACTATGAAATTTTTTTGTTAATTTAAAAATTAAAATGAAAATCAGCATTAGAGCAGATATAGTCGTAAGTTCCTTACCACTTAGCAATTAATATGAAAAGAATATATAATGACAATGCTGGGGTAAAAGAAATGGAAAAAAGAACTGAAGCAGAAGGAAAGCTGTCAACATGGGAAAGCTTAGAGAATTATGGTTATAAGTATAACATACTATAGAAATTTGAAGTCAATCTAACTTCTCTATGATAGGTCATTAATTATAATTGTTTAAATTATATATATAATTTTAAATTTTTAAGAAAGCCTTTGATAGAAGAATTGTATGTGAATCAGATGCCTAATTTCCAAGGTGCCAAGTATGAGCCTTTTGACTCATGAGTGTGTTCAAGTATGAGGTTGTTAATGTAATTGCAAACCCTTGGTTCATAGTCTCTTGAATTCAGGCTCTTGACAATGAATCCTCTAACAAACCTGGGCTTGGCCATGCAGTCTGCTTTGGCCAAGCAAATACAATGCAACAAAGACTGTAAAAGTTTTTGCAGATTGGGACTTTCTTTTGCTGCTTTAATTCTGAGATCATCATGTGAAGAAATCCAGCTAGCCTGCTAAAGAATAAGGGGCCGCTTGGAGCAAAGAAGCTCTCTGAGACAACCAGATTAAGCAGCCAGCCTACCACAGGTTTTTCTGAGCCAGCCATGAAGAAAGAGAGAGAGAGAGTGAGTCTCCCTCTATCACCCAGGATGGAGTGCATTGGTGAGATCTCAGCTCACTGTAACCTCTGCCTCCCTGGTTCAAGCAATTATCCCACCTCAGCTTCCTGAGTAGCTGGCATTACAGGTGCCCACCACCACACCTAGCTAATTTTTGTATTTCTAGTAGAGATGGGTTTTTGCCACGTTGGCCAGGCTTGTCTCAAACTCCTGGTCTCAAGTGATCCAACCACCTCGACCTCCCAAAATGCTGGGATTACAAGCATGAGCCACCGTGTTCGTACCAGCGCTTGTTATTTCAAGTCACTAAGTTTTGTGTTGGTTTCTTGCACAGCAAAAGCTGACAGCTACATGGACAAAGGAGAAAAAAGTGTGAGTAGCAAGTATCTCATATAAAAATGAAGCAGATAGTGACAAAACAAAAAATCTCTAGAAGCCTGGATCCTGAGGTAGTAACTACATCACTAACAAGAAAAACTGCTGATACATATAATGCACTTCAATTATAATTCAAGAAAAATTATATAAGTAGTATAAGTTTTGTGCCAGGCATTGTGCTAGGTATAAAAATAAATGCCCCTTCTGTCAAGGAGCTCAGGGGTTAGGGATGAAACTCACACAGATGCAGGGGGTAGGGAGGGTGGTGAAGGCTTTACTGTTAATAAATTATTTCAACTTCATGTCAGTTTCCACAGACCAGGATCCACCAACTGTGGGTTTTTAAAAATTGTGAATTAAACCACATTTCTTTTTTCTCCTTTGAAAATAGTTCTTTGTCTCCCAAATTAATTATACTATTTTTAGCATATATGTAAATATTTGAAATGCTTACAAATTAGTCCTCTTCACAGAGTTTAGAAAAAGACAGCTTTTAGGAATGACTATGAGTGATTTTAGAGGCTAATGACTGAAAATATCGTACCCATGATTTACCAGGTATCTTTAACTCTCCTACTCCTTTTACCCTTTCTTACCTTCTACAATGGGAGACTGGCTAAAAGAATGAGTACATCTTCCTCATCTACTCTGTCCTCTCAAAGCGGACATTGGAACAGAATAAGAATGGCTGTAAACAACAACAACAACAAAAACAACCATTATAAGGAATATAAACTGGCAATCTTCTTCTTTGTAATATGGCTATATATATATATATATATATATATATATATATATATTTTACCATTTTCTTTCTCAAAAACAATAAACTACGATCCTTCCTGGTCATGGTATTCTCTACCCAAAAACACACACAGATTCTTCTTTGCAGTTCTACAAAGGCGTGTGAGGATATGGGGTCACTTAAAAGCACAAGTAGGAAACCAAAAAGTTACTGTTTTCCACAGATTTTTGACCTTTCTCTCCTGTAGTTGCAGCTACTCCAATGGTACCAGGAACCATTTAGAGTCCATAACAGCATTTCTTCCCCATTATCTGGCATTCCCATCTTATGCTCTAGATCACCTCCCCAAGTTATTGTTTGCAGATTGTTTACATTATTTAAGGTCTATTTTTTCAAAGGTCTTATTTATTTTATAAATGTAACACTAGGTTTTTATTTTGATGGATTAAATACACTGTAATAATTTGAGTTTCTCATGGAATTCAATCAGAAGAAATTAGGCTTGTCACTTGCTTTTCTATTTTTTTAGCTGTATTTCTCTGAAGGAATATAGGTGTTTTTGTCTTCTTTTTATCTTTATAGGCTTATAGCAATTCATGATCTGTTCCAAAAATTGGGTAAAAAATCAAAACTTAAGTAAAATATTAGGAAATGGAATATTTTTAAATATGCATACTTATAGGATGAAGACAAAATATACTGCTAAGAAGGACTAACTGCAGGCATAATTATAAATAAATGAATTTTAAATGTTCATCCCCTTTGTCCTATTTACCCTATCTCACTGGGTACTTCTCAGTTTCACAGGATCAGAATTATGCCCCCAATTTGCTTTGGGCTCCTCAGTGTGATGACTTATTGGATCCTATATTTTAATTTCATTATAAACATTAAAATTATTTCCATATAATTTTCCCACTAATTCCCATTTTTGCAGGATCATTTCATGAAAAATATGCATGAGGTAATTTGAGGCAAGACACAATTATTATTATCTATACTCTTCACTACTTTTCACCCAGTGCCTAACACTATACCCTGAATATATATGGCCACTAATAAACACTTGTTGAATAATCATCTGATTCTTTTTGCATTTTAAATTTCCTACTCCCAGAAACAAAAGAAAGTTATATAAATTCCTATGTGAAAAAGATTTTCAGTTGTAAGGAGCAAGGCTATTTACAATAGTTGCCCCAGCATACATGTCCAGAGGTCACTCTCCACACTGTGATCTATGGCTCCTCCATCTGTGGAGTCATCATGGTCAATCTGAAATTACTCTATTGCAGTTTAAAGTCCCTTAAACTTAAATTTGAAAAGTTCAAATATATGAAAGAATACTTATCTCACACCAGTGTAGGAAGAAAAGTAGGTCCTCACCAATGTCTGGGATTGAGAACTGGGAGTTCAGGGAGGGGCTTCAAGATGGCTGACTAGAGGCACCCATCACTCACCTCCTCCACAAGGAGACACAAAAATGGTGAGTAGATAATCACACATTGAATACAATGTCTATGAGAAAATACTGGAATTCATCAGGGAAGTGACAAGGAACTGTTGAGGCACTGAAGGAGAATAAAGCAAAGCAACCAGCCTTGCCAGAATTAGCTGAGAGCCAGGAAAAACTGCCCAGTCTGAGGAAACAGTAAGACCAGAATGTAGACCAGTGGACCACATTCCCATCATGGACTCCTGTGATCCTAGCCATGGGAGAGCCCCTCAGCCATTAAAGGCCCTAAGATTAGTATAGGAAGCTGCTTGGAGTTTTCCCAAGACATTGTGCTAGAGGGGGATTTTGTGCTGGGTCCCACACACTCTACCCCAAGACCCAAGCAGTTGTAGCACAGCACCAGTTTGAGTGCCCAGTTACTACCAGATGTCATCCTCCCATACAGTCCAACAGCCCCTACATCTCCACATTCCTAGAGCTCCACTTACATCCACTCACACCACCCAGAGGGCCTCAGCATCATGATGCTGGCTATTCTCAGTGGTGTGACTGAGTACCCAGCACCAGCCCATGAAGTGTCCTAAATCCCCTAAAAAGGATGGTGCAGCATTCCAGGGAGGCTGCCCTAGGGATAAAAGGTGCCAAAGCCTCCCCAGAATGTGAAAGCCACCTACCGAGGGCTGCTGCCACTGACAGCAGTATACCCCGCAGCAGCAGAGCCAGTGAGCACTTGCACCAGCACCTTCAGTGGGCCTGGGGATCACCCCACCCTCCCCACTGTTATAGAACCAACAGGTTTATATTCCCACTGTGCAGTAACAGACATATTACACTAAGACAGCAGAGTTGGTAGCAGAGAAAGAATGTAATGATCACAGGGCACTGAGTGAGAGGGCTGGGGGAGTCCCTCAAATCTGCCTCTCTAAGGAGTCCTAGGATAGAGTTTTTAAAGGGATTTTGGAGAGCAAGGGGCTGGAAAATTGGGTTGTTGATTGATTGGGACAAGGGGCATAAAGTCATCAGGATAGGAAAACTGCATTCTTTGGTGAGTCAGCTTATTATGGGGTCCCTCAGACCAGCTGAGCCAGTGAAGTCCTTTAGACCAGCTGATGTAATAGTTTCATTTGTACATACAACTTGAAGGAATGTCTCAAAGGGAAAACTTAACGCTTCATACTGTTCAAGTTGTTTTCTATGGGGAAATTAAGGGGAACTATAATCTTGTAACATGATCTACATGATTCTAGGAAAATAGGCACCAAGTAACTATGAGGAAGCAGGTCAGAGAGTAAGCTGATCTAATGATTAATATGAAATGAGCTGCAAGCTTGGTTTATTTTTGTTCCCCCTCCCTTCTTCCCTGATTAATTTCATAAAGTTCATAGGGGTGGTTTTGCCACCACAGCTTGTACCTGTATGCCCAATCATGGGACCTGACAATAGGCCCAGCTACCTGGCACCACCCTGCCAGAGCCCAGATATGCTGTCTGGGGGCCTAAGGATCATCCCACCCTCTCTGCCACTTCTGGCACATGCTTGAACTATAAAGGGCCTTAAAAACAAACCCAACCCACTTGCCACAATCACCCAAGCCTACTCTCTGGGGACTAGAAATTGCCCAACTCTTGCCCATCACAGCCTGACCCATGCAAAGCATTGGGGGGCCTAAAGACAAACTCACCTTACTCAAAGCCACTCCTGCAAGGGCCAGCATGTTGTCCAGAGACCAGATGATCAATCTGTACTGCTCGTTGCCACCAGAACTCATGCACACCTTGCCGGAGCCTACACCACTCACCAGCACTG
Organism: Homo sapiens; assembly: GCF_000001405.40. Taxonomy (NCBI): domain Eukaryota; kingdom Metazoa; phylum Chordata; class Mammalia; order Primates; family Hominidae; genus Homo; species Homo sapiens. Next base: position 92,129,501 of record NC_000004.12, read on the forward strand.
ATGTCTGACATATGCACACACCTCCTGGGAGCATGAAGAAGGAACAGCTCAGCCTGCCACCACCACTGCCACCAGCACTCAGCCATACAAGGCATCTGGGGGCCTAAGGGTCTGGGGACTGGCCAGCCCAACCCACCACTGGCACTTGCACATGTTGCCTGAGGCCCAAGCGTTGGCCCATCACCACTACAGCTATTGCATGCTCACCACCCACGGGCTTAAAGAAAAGCCCACCTACCTGACCCATCACTGTCACTGCTGGCACCTGAGCAAGCTCCCTGGAAGCCCAAAGATAGACCTGCCTAGACCTAGGAACACCAGTGCCTGTGTACACCACTTGGGGTTCCAAGGATGGGCATGCTCAGCCTGTGGCTATCACCACCAGCCCACTTGGCAGTCCCATCCCCAACAAAACCTCCCCAGAGCCTCCATTAACAACTGCAGTCTGCCATCGAGGGACTCACAGACATCACTGACAATTTTCATAGCCCAAAATACCATATAGAGACTACACTAATGCATGCACTCAAAATCAAAGCTAAAGCACCCTACCCAACCAACACTAATGGTACCTCTAGAGGAAAAAGTCTTTTCCCACAAAAGCCTATCCAAAAAAGTGAAGGTTATACCCGATGTGCAAATACCAATGTAAGGACACACACACACACACACCACAAAAAAGCAAAGAAACATATTACCTCCAAATTAACATGATAGTTCTCCAGCAACAGATTTAAACAAAAAAGAAATCTATGTAATGCCTGAAAAAAGAATTCAAAATAATGATATTAAAAGAAGCTTAACAAGATACAAGAGAACATTGAAAAACAACACAAAGAAATCAGAAAAACAATATATGATCTGAATGAGAAATTCAACAAATTGGTAGACATCATGAAAAATGGCCAAATAGAAATCCTGGACTGAATGAAATAAAAAATACAACTGAGAGCTTAAAAAATAGAATAGATCAAGCAGAAGAATTTCTGAACTTAAAGACAAGTCTTTTGAAATAACTCACTCAGACAAAAAAAAAGAGAAAAAATGAAGAAAGCCTACATGACATATGGGACAACAATATAATGCAAGAAAATATTTGAATTTTGGGTTTTCCTGGAAGAGGATGGCAAAGGCATAGAAAACCTATTTAACAAAATGATTCCTGAAAATTCCCAAGTCTTGCAAGAGATACAGAAATTCATATACAGGAATCTCACAGAATTGTAAATATATTTAATCCAAAAAGATCTTCTCCAAGTAATATTATAGTCAAACTATCAAAAGTCCAAGAGAATTCTAAAAACATCAACAGAAAAACCGTCAAGTCAAATATAAAGAAAATCAGACAAACACCAGATTTCTCACAAAAACCTTACAGGCCAGGATAGAATGAGATAATATGTTTAAAATGCTGAAAGAAAAATTTTCAATCAAGAATGCAATACCCAGCAAAGTTTTCCTTCATAGGCAAAAGATAAATAAACTATTCCCCAGACAAGCAAAAGCAAAGGCAATTTATGACCACTAGAATGTTCCTACAAGAATTGCTTAAGGGAATTCTACACCTGGAAGTGAAAGGACAATATCCACCTTTATGAAAGCACATAATAATATAAAGCTCACAGGTAGAGCAGACACACAAATAGGAAGAAGAAAGAACTCAAATGTGAACACTACAGAAAACCATCAAATTGCAATTTGACAAATAATAAGAAGAAAGGAGGGAACAAAGAAAATACAAAACAACCAGAAAACAATAATACAACAGAAACAAAACCTCATATATTGATAGTAACCTGGAATGTAAACAGAATAAATTGCCCACTTAAAATATATAAACTGCCTGAGGCCAGGCACGGTGGCTCATGCCTGTAATCCCGGCACTTTGGGAGGCCAAGGTGGGCAGATCACAAGGTCAAGAGATCGAGACCATCCTGGCTAACACGGTGAAACCCCGTCTCTACTAAAAATACAAAAAAAAAAAAAAAAAACAGCCAGGCATGGTGGCAAGTGCCTGTAGTCCCAGCTACTTGGGAGGATGAGGCAGGAGAATGGCATGAACCCGGGAGGCAGAGCGTGCAGTGAGCTGAGATTGCACCACTGCACTCCAGCCTGGGCGACAGAGTGAGACTCTGTCTCACCAAAAAAAAAAAAAAAAAAAAAAATATATATATATATATATACACACACACACACATATATATATATACTGCCTGAATAGATTTTTTTTCATGACCCAACAATATGGTACCTACAAGAAGCTACTTCACTTTTAAAAGCACATATAGACTGCAAATGAAGAGATAAAAAATGTTTCCATGCAAACAGAAACCAAAAGAGAGGATAATTAATTATACTTACATAAGATAAAACAGATTTTAAGTCAAAAACAGTAAAAAAGAGGTAAAGGTCATTATATAAGAATAAGGAGACCAATTCAGTCTGAGGATATAACAATTCTATGGATACAGGCACCCAACACCAAAGCACCCAGATTCATAAAACAAATACGACTAAATATAAAGGAAGAGATAGATTCCAATACATTAATACTTGGGGACTTTAACACCCCATTCTTAGCATTGGACAGATTGTCTAGACAAAAATTAACAAAGAAACATTAGATTTTACTTGATTTTAGACCAAATGGACCTAACAGTTATAGAACATTTTATCGAACAGCTGCAAATACACATTATTTGCATCAGCACATGGAACATTCTCCAAGATAGACCACAAGTTAGGCTACAAAACAAATTTTAACAAAATTTTGAAAATGGAAAGCATATCAAGTATCTTCTCAGACCACAAAGAAATAAAATTAGAAATCAATAACAAGAGGAACTTTGAAAACTATACAACTATATGAAAACTAAACATGCACCTGAAAGACCAATTGTTCTATGAAGATATCAAGAAGAAAATAAAAAAATTTGTTGAAAGAAATAAAAATCAAAATATAATATACTAAAACCTATGGGACACAGGAAAAGCTGTGCTAAGAGGGAAGTTTATAGCAATAAATGCCTAAATCAAAGAAGTAGAAAGATTTCAAATGAATAACCTGAAGATACACCTCAAAGAACTAAAAAATCAAGAACAAAGAAAACCAAAAATTAGTAGTAGGAAACAAATAATAAGGATCAGAGCAGAATTAAACAAAATAAATGCAAATCAAAACCACAATGAGATACCATCTCACACCAGTTAGAATGGCAATCATTAAAAAGTCAGGAAACAACAGGTGCTGGAGAGGATGTGGAGAAATAGGAACACTTTTACACTGTTGGTGGGACTGTCAACTAGTTCAACCATTGTGGAAGTCAGTGTGGCTATTCCTCAGGGATCTAGAACTGGAAATACCATTTGACCCAGCCATCCCATTACTGGGTATATACCCAAAGGACTATAAATCATGCTGCTATAAAGACACATGCACACGTATGTTTATTGCAGCATTATTCACGATAGCAAAGACTTGGAACCAACCCAAATGTCCAACAATGATAGACTGGATTAAGAAAATGTGGCACATATACACCATGGAATACTATGCAGCCATAAAAAATGAGTTCATGTCCTTTGTAGGGACATGGATGAAATTGGAAATCATCATTCTCAGTAAACTATCGCAAGAACAAAAAACCAAACACCGCATATTCTCACTCATAGGTGGGAATTGAACAATGAGATCACATGGACACAGGAAGGGGAATATCACACTCTGGGGACTGTTGTGGGGTGGGGGGAGGGGTGAGGGATAGCATTGGGAGATATACCTAATGCTAGATGACGAGTTAGTGGGTGCAGCGCACCAGCATGGCACATGTATACATATGTAACTAACCTGCACAATGTGCGCATGTACCCTAAAACTTAAAAGTATAATAATAATAAAAAAAAGAAAAAAAAAGAAACTAAACAAATACAAAAACAAAAGCAAAAATAACAAAAAAGGTTTTTAAAAAGATAGACAAAATTCATAAACCACTAGCTAAACTGACCAAAAAAGAGAGAGAAGACTCAAATAAACATAAGCAGAAACAAAAAATGAAATATTAAAACTGTTACCACAGAAATACATAGGATCTTCAGAGACTATTATAAACAACTGTCATCTAGCAAATTATGACACCTAGAGGAAATGCCTACTTTTCTGGACACATGCAACCTACTAAGATTGAACAAAGAAAGCACAGAAAATCTGAACAGGCCAATAGTGAGTAATGACACTGAATCAATAATAAAATTTCCCAACAAAGAAAAGCCCAGGCCTAGATGGCTTTACTGCTCAATTCTTTCAAAGTTTAAAAAAGAACTAATTTTTCTCAAGAACACCAATTCTTCTTAAACTATTTCGAAAAAAAAAATGAGGAGGAGGGAATTATGCCTAACTATTCAAAGAGGTCTGTATTAACCAGATACCAAAATAAGACAAGGACACAACAACAAAAACTACAGGCCACTATTCCTAATTAACATAAACACAAAAATCCTCAAAAAATACTAGCAAATTGAATCCCATAACACATCAAAAAGATAATACACCATGACCAAGTGGGGTTTATCCAACAGATGCAAAGAAGTTTCAACAAATGCAAATCAATAAATGTGGTACATCACATGAATAGTACGAAAGACAAAAACTATATGGTCATGTCAATAGAAGCCAAAAAAGCATTTGATAAAATTCAACTTCCCTTCATGATAAAAACTCTCAACAAACTAGGGTAGAGGGAACATACCTCAACATAACAAAGGCCATAGATGACAAACCCACAGCTAATATCATACTGAAAAGGAAAAACGTGAAATGCTTTCCTTTAAGAACTGGATCAAGACAAGGATGCCCATTCTCACTACTCCTAGTAAACATAGTTCTGGAAATCCTATCCAGAGCAATGAGGCAAAAGAAAGAAATAAAAGGCACCCAAAGCAGAAAAGACAAATTCTAACTTTTTTTCTTTGTAGACAACAAGATCTTACATACTAAAAAACCTAAAGAGTCCACAAAAATCTTTGGAACTGATCATTGATTTCACTAAAGTTGCAGAATACAAAGTCAACATACAAAAATCTATAGTGTTTCTATGCAACAATAACAAGCTAGATTAAAAAGAAATCAAGAAAACAATCCTGTTTGAAATAGTTACAAAAAATAAAATACCCAGGAATAAATTTAACCAAGAATATTAGATACATCTACAAAAACATTGATGACGGAAAATGAAGAGGACACAAACAAATGGAAAGACATCCCATGCTCATGGATTAAAAAGATTAACATTGCTGAAATGACCATACTACCCAAAGCAGTCTACATATTCAATGCAATCTGTATCAAAATACCAATGATATTCCTCACAAAAAAGGAAAAGCAATCCCAAAACCTGTATGAAATAAAAAGTCCAGATAGCCAAAGCAATACTGAAAATATTAAAATAACCAAGCTGAAGGTATACTACCTGACTTAATCTACGAAGCTATAGTAGTGCAAAGAGCATGTGATTTGCTATAAAAACAGACACATGGACTAATGGAACAGAATAGAAAATTCATAAATAAATCCATGTGTTTATAGCCAACTGACTTTTGACAAAGGCACCAAGAACATACATTGGGAAAAGGACACCCTCTTCAATAACTGGTGCTGGGAAAATCAGATATGCATATGCTGAAGAATGAAAGTGAACCCTTTCCCCTCACTATATATAAAAATCAACTGAAAGTGGATAAAAGACAAACATAAAACAGTAAACTCTAGAACTACTAGAAGAAAACATAGAAGAAATTTTACAGGACATTAGTCTAGGCAAAGGTTTTGTGGCAAAGACCTCAACAGTATAGGCAACAGAAACAATCAACAGAGTTTAAGAGACAACATGCTGAATGGGAGAAAATAATTGTAAACTATTCACCCAACAAGAGACCAGTTTTCGGAATATTCACGGAACTTAAAAAATTCAACAGCAAATAAAATAATCCCATTAGATGGTGGGTGAAGGATCTGAAAACATTTCTCAAACAGAGACATACAAATGGCCAACAGGTATTTAAAAAAAAATGTTTAACATCACTATTCATCCGGGAAATGCAAATAAAAACTATGGTAAGTTATCGTTTTATCCCAGTTAGAATGGCTATTTCAAAAAGACAAAATATAACAAACACTGGTAAGGATGCATAGAAAAAGGAACTCTTATACACTGTTGGTGGGAATGTAAATTAGTACAGCCATTATGGGAAAAAGTATGGAGGTTTCTCAGAAAAATGAAAATAGAGCTATTATCCAATCTAGCAATCTCACTGTTGCATATTTTTCCAAAGGAAAGGAAATCAAATGAATACTTGCATCCCAATTTTTACTGTAGCACTATTCACAATAGCTAAGTAAAGCTGTTGTAAAAATGGAAGAAACCTGAGTGTCCACAAATGGATGAATGGATAAAGAAAATGTGGTATCTATACGCAATCGAATATTATTCAGCCATTAAAAAGAATGAAATTCTGTCATTTTCAACAACATGTGGATGGAACTGGAAGTCACTATGTTAATTGAAATAAGCCAGGCACAGAAAAACAAATATTATATGTTTTCACTCATATGTGGGAGTTTAAAATGTTAGTCTTATGGAGGTAGAGTAGAACGGTAGTTACCAGAGGTTAGGAAGGGTATGTGTCCAGGGTGGGGAAGGGGATGTAGAAAGGTTGATTAACGGGAACAAACATATATTTACATAGAAGAACTAAGTTTTAGTATTTGATAGCACAGTAGAGTGACTATAGCTAATATGTTGTATTTTTTTAATTTTTTTAAACTTTTATATTAAATTCAGGGGTACAAGAGCGTGTTTTTTACATAGGTAAACTTGTGTCATAGGGGTTTGTTGTACAGATTATTTCATCACCCAGGTATTAAGCCTAGTACCCCTCAGTTATTTTTCCTGACTCTCCTCCTCCTCCCACCCTCCACCCTCTAAAAGGCTCCAGTTTGTATTGGTCACTATTTGTCCACATGTTCTCATCATTTAGCTTCTACTTATAAGTGAGAACATGCAGTATTTGGTTTCCTCTTCCTGTGTTACTTTCCAAAGGATAATGGCCCCCATGTTTCTGCACGGGACATAATCTTGTTCTTTTTCATGGCTGCATAGTATTCCATAGTATATTTATGCCACATTTTCTTTATTTAGTCTATCATTGATGGGCATTTAGGTTTATTCCATGTCTTTGCCATCATGAATAGTGCTGCAATAAACAAATGCGTGCATGTGTTTTTATAATAGAATGATTTATATTCCTTTGGGTAAGGATTTCTGGGTCGAATGGTATTTGTGTCTTTAGATCTTTAATATTTTAAAATAACTAGAAAAGAATATTTGAAATGTTCCCAACAAAAATAAATGATAAATGTTTGAGGTGATGGTATCCTAAATACCCTGATTTGATCATTACACATTGTTTGCAGGTATCAAAATACCACTTGTGTTCCATAAATATGTACAAATATGTACTAATAAAAACATTTTTATAAAACTGGAAGTTCAGAAACCAAGAATACTCTCTCTGATCTCTAATGCTCAATGGTTTCTCATTTCTTTCTCTCCACACACTGGATTTGTTATTAATTCTCTCTGGAGACTGGCTTTTTCTGGTTTTCTCTAGTTCTGTTTCTCCAGGCATTCCAGCTTGAGTGTCAAAACTCACTCAAACATATTTAATATAATCTCAGATTTTTGGAAGAAGAAATTGGGTCAGGCATCCACATCAACTGTGCCACAAAGCAGGGTTAATTATACCTCTATTTTCTCAGCCAGAATTCTGGGAATTAGAACAGCAATTTCAATGAGAAGAAGCATGAGATAGAAACGAAATTCTAGGTATTAATAGGACATAAGATATCGCCAAATTTGTTCTCATTATCTTCCCCGATTATAAACCAGCAACTTTTTTTTTTTTTTTTTTGTGAGATGGAATCTCGCTCTGTCACCCAGGCTGGAGTGCAGTGGCCTCATGCCATTCTCCTGCCTCAGCCTCATGAGTAGCTGAGACTACAGGCGCCCGCCACCACGCCCAGCTAATTTTTTTTTTTTTTTTTTTTTTTTTTTGTATTTTTAGTAGAGATGGGGTTTCACCGTGTTAGCCAGGATGGCCTTGATCTCCTGACCTCATGATCTGCCCGCCTCGGCCTCCCAAAGTGCTGGGATTACAGGCGTGAGCCACCGCACCCGGCCTTCTTATAACATGTCTATTTTGGAAAATAGAACCATTTATAAACAGAGTTTAGAAACATCCTTAACTCCTCTCAGAAATCTATAACTAATTATTCTTTACAGATTATACTTCTGAAGCCATTTCTTCCTTTCCATTGCCATTAGACCTGTTCTTATTATCTTATCTGAACTTTTAAAATAGCTTTCTAAAATGTACTCCACACTACAATAATTTGCTTCATCTCATTCTTGTCAACACTTTAATAAGAAACACCATACCTACATTTATGTCATTCCCCTGATAAAAATGTTCAGTGAACACTTCTTTCCTTTAAAATAACCTACAAACTTCACCCTTTAAAGTTTTCCACAATGTGAACCAAAGTTACCTTTCTTGGTTTGCCTTATTCTACATACTAACAAATACCTCATGCTCCAATCAAACTGGACTATGCTATTTCCAAATATATCCTGTATATTCAGCTCCATCGCTCGATTCATAGCAGATTTTCTTTTTAAAATGCCCTGTTTTCCTATTTGTATTAGTCTGTTCTCATGCTGCTAATAAAGACACACCTGAGACTGGGTAATTTCTAAAGGAAAGAGTTTTAATTGACTCACATTTCCACTGGCTGGGGAGGTCTCACAATCATGGCAGAAGGCCAAGGAGGAGCAATGTCATGTCTTTCATGGCAGTAGGCAAGAGAGAATGAGAACCAAGCGAAAGCAGAAACCCCTTATAAAACCATCATATCTCTTGAGACTTGTTCACTACCATGAGAACAGTATGGGGGAAACTGTCCCTATGATTCCCTTATCTCCCACTGGGTCCCTCCCACAAGTGGAAATTATGGGAGCTACAATTCAAGATGAGATTTGAGTGGAGACACAACCAAACCATATCGTTATTCAAATCTAAATATCTGCTATAAAAATTATTTTCATCATTTAAAGTCCAAACCAAAGACCTTTGCTAAAGATGCTCCTGATTGGTTGTGATCTCTTACTACTTTGGTCTTCATATCAAGTTGCTCGCACTTTGTGTGTGACATATATATTAACAGTATGCTAATAACACAAGAGCTTTCTACATTCCAAGTGTTAGTCTAAATACCTTTTTAATACATTTTCTCATCTAATGCTTATATCAAATAAACAATTTACATACTATAATTATACTCATTTTAAGGATGGGAAATTGTGGTTTAGAATGTTTAATTAATTGTCCCAAAGTCACCTAGCTAGGAAGTAGCTATATTTTCTAGTTACTCTATGTCTCTCTTTTTATCAATCTTAAATGAAAACTTGAGATCAGCTTTTTATCTCTTCAAGTACCTAGCCCAGTATTGTGAGTAAGTGGGTAAGCAGATAGATTAGATTAACTGGATTAAATAATATCATGAAGAAAATGTCAACAGGGAACTTCAGTCTTTAATTTGTAAACATGGGTTGGTACAAGGTTTACTGGGGGATATTAGAAACTAGGTTTATATTTAGTTTGGCCTTTTGTGACTATGTTAAAACAACTATACTCATGAGTTGTGAGATTACCCTGCTATACAAGTGAGCAGTTTTTCATATGTGAGCTGCAGTAGATAAACCAATTCATTTCTTTTCCAAAGCACTACAAATAACAATACTCCAGCACATCCCTGTAAAGGAGAACATTTTTGGTTTGCCCTTACATGTGTTGTCTCCCTATTTTGAGATGTATTCATTAAGACTAGTTTCAATTGTTGTTGAAAAAACATTTTCTATTAAATTGGATTTGAATCATAGAGACTAAGAAATTAAATCTTTAGAAAGAGTATTTTCAAAACTAATTAGATATTTCAAGGCTGTCCAATCATACAATTTAAGGGACAAATTTTCTTCTTGTTTGGTTAAATGCCGGTAGAATTTACTAAGGATTTACTATAATATTTGCTAAGATTAGATGAGCAGGTGTGGCCTATATTTCATTAATATTAGTGACCACCTGCAGCCTAAGAAAATGCATTTTAACTTAAATGTCATTCAGCTGTACTTTTCAAACTTTTATTCCATCCAAATTCTCCATAGACCATCAGGGAAATGTGCTTACCATTAACCAAGAAGGGAATTACTGCACACAATATGTATAGGAACTGATTGGGGTAGTATCCTGATGTTCAGTTTGCTTGACTATATCCAGAGCAGTACAAATCAAATTTAATTCCTAAATATTTGATCGGATCTACTTAACGCAGGAAACCATTTTTTTTAAAGTAGACTGTGAGTATCCATCTGATTGATGGCCTATGTTCAACTTCTATGATAGTGAGCAAAAGTCAATCTGATCACCTAAATAAATATTCTGAGAGATATTAATCACACATTATTAAGGCTAGAAGACTTTAGAGATCATCTGGTTAATCTGGTGAATGCCTTCTCTTAATTTAGCAAACTCAGTCTCAGACAGATTGCATTTTACTCAAGTTTTTACTTGGAATTAGTGGAAAAGCCAAGCTGAAACTTCATATTTCCTACCTCCAAAGAACTACACTTTCCAGTTAGCAATTTTTGTGACCCAGGGTTAGGGCATCAAAGGGATGATTCTGAGGAAGGGATGGAGCAGTAGAGAGAAAGAAGAAAGAAATGCTTCTGTAAGGATATTGATGTCCTGTGATGTTTTAATGGAAACTTGGCATTCTACCACCCATGATAAGCTACCTAAATATTTACGTACAAGAGCCTAGGAAACTGTCACAGGATATTATAAATTAGTTCCATTTTCTCAAGGGTCATTTGCATTTCCATTCAGGTAATTTCCTCATCATAATGTGGTTATTATTATATTTGCTGAGGTAAAACTAGATCATCTTTTTTGCATTAATATAAAACCATTTATTCAGTGATATGTTGGAGAAGGCTTATACCTGGACAAAGCAATTATTAAATTTTTAAAAAATTTTGTGTAGTTGATGTTAAATACAGCTATTACTAAATATTAAATTATATAAATGTATAGTGAAGTAGATTATAATAATATCATAGGGAATCAATACTTAAAACTAATCAGTTTCCATTTATTTTACTTGGAATTTATTATTTAGCATTTACTATTACCTATTTTGCTATTATTTTGAGATTATTTATGTCTATTGTACTGTATGGTAGAAATACCATACAACATACTGCTCTACAAAAATCACTTTCCAACTTTTCATTTAGTAAGTACATTTGGTAGCTTGGAATCAGTCACAGAATGAGTATTTACACCATGAAAATTAGAAAACACTACAAAGCAAGGTTTGGTATGTTGATTTTTCTTCTCGAAGAAGCCAACTTTTAAATATTTCCCAGCATACCACTGCTTAAAATCCACTTATGATTCACCTCATGCCTTAACAGGTACATGAAACCTCAAATCTACAACGATTTGACCACTGCTACATTGACCACTAATAGGCATGCTGTGTATTCTTGCATAGGGTGTCATGGTATTCTGAACAGCATTGTTTCAGATCAAGAAACTCACTTTATAGACAAAGTGTAGCAGTGGGTCCACATTCACGGAATTCACTGTTCTCCTCATGTTTCCAGCCATTCTAAAAATGCTGGCTTGATAGAACAGTGGAATGGCCTTTTGAATAGTCAGTTACAGCATCAGCTAGGTGGCAATACTTACATAATTGGGGCAAGGTTTTCTAGAATGCTGTATAGGCTCTAACTCAGTGTCCAAATATATGGTGCTATGTTTCCTGTTGCCAGAATTCACAGGTCTAGGAATCAAATAGTGGAAATGGGAGTGGCACTACTCACTGTTACCCCTGGTTACCCACAAGCAAATTTTTGATTCCTGTTCCCATGACCTTATGCTCTGATGGTCTAGAGGTCTTAGTTTTAAGGCAAAGAATCCTTCGACCACAAGACAATGATTCCCCTGAACTCGAATTTAACACTGCCTCCTGGCCACTATGAAGTCCTCATGCTCTAAATCAACAGAAAAGGTGGGAGTTTCTATGCTGGCTGAGGCGATTGATGTTGACTACGAAAAAGAAATAGACAACCACTCCACAATGGAGGTAAAGAAGAGTATGTACAAAATATATGAGATCCTTTATGCATCTCTTAGTATTACCATCAATGATTAAGGTCAATGGAAAATTACAACAACCAAATCCAAATAGGAGTACTAATGGCCTGGATCCTTCAGAAATGAAAGCTGGGGTCATATCTTCAAGTAAAGAACACAATCAGCTGAGGTACTTGCTGGACACAAAAGAATATAGAATAGGTAGTGGAAGAAGGTAGTTATAAATTCCAGCTATGACCATATGACAACTTATGCAAACAAGGGCAGTAATTATCATGAGTATCTTCCTATTTTATTAAAATATGTGTGTGTTTGTGTGTATATACATATGCAATCTTTGTTTTCTTGCCCTCTCTTATTCCTTTATCATGTAGCCTGAGCTACATGATATTTATATATCACAATATTTATTGATTTTTATTTAAGTTACAAGATATCAAGAAGAAGAGTAAATGTCACTCAAGAACTTTACCTACTGTCCTGAGGAAAAGGTTATTGCACTTTCAGTGGTATGCAGGATATTTATAACATGTAGGAGAAATTAGGACTTTGTTTTTTTTTTTGGACATTAAGTATGGTTTAAGGACATGCTTATGGGTGCCAGCTAGATAAAGAAAGGACTTGTGATATTTAATTTTGTATGTCAGGTTGACTGGGTCACCTGGTGCCCAGATATTTGGTTAAACATTATTGTGTGTGTATCTATGACGGTAATTCTGATTCTGGATAAGATAAACAATTGGTAGACCGAGTAAAGCAGCTTACCCTTCCCCAAGTGGGTCGACCTCATCTAATTAGTTGAAGGCCTGATTAGAAGAAAATAAAAAAAAAGGCTGAGGAAGGAAAAATCCTTTCTTTCTGCCTCATTGTGTTGGAACATGGACATTAGTCTTTTGCCTTCAGACTTAAACTTGAACTGGAACTATACCACCAGCTCTCTGGGGTCTCCGGCTTGCCAAGTGTAGATCTTGGGATTTTCTCAGTCTCCATAATTGCATGAGCCAGTTCCTTGTAATAAATATCTTTATGGATATATCTACTACTGGTTCTGTTTCTCTAGATAACCCAAACAAATTCAAATAGCTTGATACAATGGCAGGAAACTGGATTATAGAGGTAGATGGACCAAAGTCCCAGTTCTATGCCTATTCTTGTCAACTTGCAGCCTGTTTTTCTTAACTTTCCCGAAGTTATCTATTTCTGTTTGGTAGTCAACATCAATCACCCTAGCCAGCATAGTAACTCCCACATTTCCTGTTGATTCCCAGCATTGGTATATAATTAATAAACACTAGGACATCCTTCTCCCAAAACAACAATAACAATAAAACACCTCATTGTAACCCAGTCTGATGTTTACAAATTTAGATTTGAAGCCAGCCTTGTGTAAGTGCCAATAGGATTGAATTTGACTATATATTTGCCACAAATGTTACAACCATGCAAGGTGCAGTGACTAGTAAACCTAAGTTTACCTAAGTACTACAATGTGGATACCTCATAAAAACAAAAAGTGGACCAGACCCACAGAGTCTTTGAATCCATCTTGCATATAGAGGCATAGCTTTAGATTATCTTAATCGAAGTAAAAACACACTGCCAGCCTACTTCCCAAACATCATTCCTCCCACAAGTATGTTAAAGTGTTTGCCCTCTAAATCCTCATGATGTTCTATCTCCATAGAGTCATCTATTTACAGAAGCCTACACACCAAAACAACAGATTTATGAAAATGTCATTGAAATATTTTTTCACCAAAATAGTTACCATGGAGGTTCTCGTGCAGCTCTTAAGCCAGCCGTTATTCAAGTGTAATATTGTATGTGTTTTTTAAAAAATAGGCCAGGTGATAAGGATGCAAATATTGAGTTTTTCTTCAGAAAAAGTAGACTGCCACAGAAACACACTGTAGACAATATTATATTTGAAAGGGTCTCTACACATCCAGCCAGAGAAGGTCTGATTTTACTAACTTACGTGGTCACCAGAATTATACTGACAATGAAAACGCTATGTACACTCATGGGTAGGCCTGGCTCTAGCAATTTGATGTGGTGATTTTCAGAATGAATGTATCAAGGCTGGAAGAAAATGGGTAGAATTCTTTTAGGGCTCAACCTCACCCTGAAAAAGAGAGAACAAAATGTTGGTAGAGGGAGGATGCAAGTGGCGATAAAATGGTTACAGAAATAAGTTTTGTAATGGATATGCATGCTAAGTTACTACTCATTTTTAATTCTTCAATCCTTGTAAAACTGAAAATATATCGGTGATTTCTCTGAAAAATTGTATCTCTTCTCTTTTCTCCTAAAGCACCTTCCCATTTAGAGAGAGTCCTTATGTTTGAATTTTAGGCTGTTGACCTAGAGCTCCCTCCTGCCAGAGTATTCCTGCTGAATAACCTAATCTGAATCACTCAAGCAGCCAGGCAAATAAGCCCATGTTAGTTCTCACAGTCCATTTCAATTCAGGCCATGTAAGCAATCAATACAGAGTGTAAAATAACAAGAACACACTTGGATACTTATCTCTGTATGCCTGAGTTACCACCTCCCAAACAACCTCAATTGGTGAGTACACAATTACAAAATCATGACTTCTTACTATGCCTATTTAGAAAATCGTCTTTGGCTTTCATGGCTCACGGTCCTATAGAGATCCACTAATAACCTGTATAAAGCATAATCCCCAGTTTGCAGAACTGGTATGCATTATTATAATTTCTTTTCTTATTGATTATTGAATATGGATATATTTCTTAGAAATATTTATAAAATAAAAACATACTAATTTAGTAACCATACATTTATTTAAAATATATTTGTAAATATGTATGCATTAATTTTTATTAAAACTAAGAATTTTATCTTAAGCATTAGATGGTTTCCTGTTTAGAATCAGTCTAATGTAGTGGTTTTTGAGACATGCAAAAAGTGTTGTAAGGAGTCTTCCTGATTCTAGCTTGTTTTAATTGCAGTGTGGGCAATCATCTTTTGATCTTTTGTTTTTATCTAAGACATGAACTCTTTGAATTATAGTGTAAACTTGAGATAATATGCCAGCAATAAAACCACTTGAAATATCTTATAGAATGAAAGAATCCTATAAATACCCATCTACTCCAAAATCACTCATTGGATTTTCCTTGGTAAACAAAAGCTGGAGTTGGAGTACAGAGAATAAGATAAAAGAACTGCTCTATGTCAATTTAAAGCTCTTAGGAGATTGCTGTATGTGGAAACTTCTGCACAGTGTTAAAATTCCGTGTGGATGTGTGTTTATCTCAATACCCAGTAAATGGTTTGTATGGAAATATTAGAGCATGACAACTATATTGTGGTATTAAGTGTTCAGTTCTTATCTTTACTCTGTATTTATCAATTTTGATATATTAGACAAAACATTTAGCACTTAGTGTCTTCATCAGTAAAATTACATTTTTTCTTTCCATTTTGATATCTCTAAAAATTATCTATGTTAATGAATTAAATTGCAAATTCAAAGCTCTCAAACTACTATACAAATGCCAACTCAAATTCTTCATTTACTGAGATGTTTACATATCTACATTGATTGAGATACCCACCATTTGTATGAAAATTGTATTTAAATGTCTATCAGGACACTTACTCTAGTTAAAAATTTCAGTTGTCACACTTTTTCTCCTTTTCAGCTCTGAATTTGATGAATAAAGCAAAACCCCATGTAGGAGGTATTGTTTAACTCTATGTTCAGTAGATCATCTTTTAATAGATTTTTTTCTAACAAAGTATGTGAGTGTAAGTTAAGAAGAGATATAGAAAAAGTTAACATATGAATGTTCTGAGCACCTACACATTTTAATAGAGACAAGAATTATCATAACAGTAGGTAAATTCAATTTTTTAACTACTAGATTTGCATAACCAATGCTATTTACAAGAAATATGTAAACATATTCATGACTTTTTCAAACTACCCTCATATTTGAAACTCATAAATGAGTTGCTGTATTTTAAAGTTTGTAAGTTAATGCATTTTAAAATGGCTTGCATTTTTTAGGATTGGTAAAAACTCATACTGATATTGATCAATTCTGGTGCTGGAGATGGTGGATAAATAAGTCACAGGCCATTACACTAGTGAATACAATATCAATGCTAACCTTAAATGTAAATGGGTTAAATGCTCCCATTTAAATGGCATAGAGTGGTAATCTGGATAAAAAGACAAGACCCAGCCATCTGCTGTCTTCAAGAGGCTCATCTTACATTTAACAACATCAACAGGCTCAAAGTAAAGGGATAGAGTAATATCTACCATCCAAATGGAAAGCCAAAAAGAGCAGGAGTCAATATTCTTCTATCAGCTAAAACAGATCTCAAACCAATAAAAATAAAGACAAAGAAGAACATTAAATAATGATAGAGAGTACAATCCAAGAAGAAGAATTAACTATCCCAAATATATATGCACCCAACACTGGAGCACCCAGATTCATAAAGCAAGTTCTTCTTGGCCTACAAAAAGACGTACGCAATCACAAAATAACAATGGGACACTTCAACATCTCAATGACAGCTGTAAACAGATCATCAAGGCAGAAAACTATTAACCAAACTTTGGACTTAAACTTGACACTTGACCAACTGGATCCATTGGACATCTACAGAACACTCCACTAAACAACTACAGAATATACATTCTTCTCATCTGCACATGGAACATATTCCAGGTTTGTCCATATGGTCAATCATAAAGCAAGTCTCAATGAATTCAAAAAAATTGAAATCACACCAAGCACACTCTCAGACCACAGTGAAATTAAAACAGATATCAGTATCAAGAAGATCTATCAAAACTACACCAATTCATGGAAATCAAACAACTTGCTCCTGAATAACTCGGGTAAACATCGAAAATAAGGGAAAAAACAAAAATTATTTGAAATTAATAAAAATTGAAATACAATATACAAAAAAATCACTGAGATGCAGCTAAAGCAGTGTTAAAAGTTTGTAGTGCTAAATCTCTTCATGAACAAGGTAGAGAAATCTAAAATTACAATCTGACTTTGAACATAGAGAAATTAGAAAAAAAAAAAAAGAACAAACCATCCCTTAAGTTAGCAGAAAAAAAAATAACTAAAATACAGAAGAACTGAATGAAATTGAGATACAAATATTCATTGAAAAGTCAATGAAATTGAGTTGGTTCCTCAAAAAGTAAACAAGAGTGATATACTGATAGCTAGATTAACGAAAAAAAAAGACAATACCCAAACAAGTAAAATCAAAAATAATAAACATAACATTACAACTGATTTCACAGACATACAAAAGATTCTCAGAGAACAATATGAACAACTCTATGCATGCAAATGTCAAAATCTAGAGGAAATGGATAAATTCCTGAAAACTTACAATCCCCCAAGATTGAATAATGAAGAGATTGAAATTCTGAATCAGCCAATATTAAGCTCTGAAATTCAATCAGTAATACAAAACCTACCAACCAATAAAAGTCCTGGATCAAATGGATTCACAGCCGAATTCTACCAGTAGTACAAAGAAGAGCTTGTACTGATTCTATTGAAATTACTCCAGAAAATCAAGAAGGAGGGGATCCTACCAAACTCATTCTATGAAACCTGCAACAGCCTAATACCAAAACCTGGCAAAGACACGACAAAAATTAAAACTTCAGGCCAATACCCCTGATGAACAAAGACACAAAAATCCTCAACAATTTACAAGCAAACTGAACCCTTCAGCACATCGAAAAGTTAATACATCATAATCAAGCAGGTTTTATTCCTGGGATGCAAGTCTCATTCAACATACAAAAATCAATTAAGTACGATTCACCACATAAAGAGAATTAAAAACAAAAACCATATGATCATCTCAATAAATGCAGAAAAAATGTGATAAAATCCAAAATCCCTTCATGATAAAAATTATCAACAGATGAGGCACTGAAGTAGCATACCACAAAATAATAACACCCAATTATAAAAAACCCATGGCCATATCCCTGATGATCATCGATGCAAAAATCCTCAATAAAATATGGGCAAATTGAATCCAGCAGCACATTAAAAAGCTTACCCACCACGATCAAGTCAGCTTTATCTCTGGGATGCAAGGCTGGTTCAACATACGGAAATCAATAAACATAATCCATCACATAAACAGAACCAATGACAAAAACCATATGATTATCTCAATAGATGCAGAAAAGGCCTTCAACAAAATTCAACAGCCTCTCATGCTAAAAACTCTCAATAAACTAGGTATCAGTGGAACATATCTCAACATAGTAGGAGCTATTTATGATAAACCCAAAGCCAGTATCATACTGAATGGGCAAAAACTGGAAGCATTCCCTTTGAAAACCAGTACAAGACAAGGATGCCCTCTCTCACCACTCCTATTCAACATAGTATTGGAAGTTCTGGCCAGGGCAATCAGGCAAGAGAAAGCAATAAAGGGTATTCAAATAGTAAGGGAGGAAGTCAAATTTGTCTCTGTTTGCAGAGGATATAATTGTATATTTAGAAAACCCCATTGTCTCAGCCCAAAATCTCCTTAAGCTGATAAGCGACTTCAGCAGAGTCTCAGGATTCAAAATCAATGTGCAAAAATCACAAGCATTCCTATACACCAATAACAAACAGAGAGCTAAATCATGCGTGAACTCCCATTCAAAATTGCTACTCAGAAAATAAAATACCTAGGAATCCAACTTACAAGGGATGTGAAGGACCTCTTCAAGGAGAACTACAAACCACTGCTCAAGGAAATAAGAGAGGACACAAACAAATGGAAAACATTCCATGCTCAGGGATAGGAAGAATCAATATCATGAAAATGGCCTTACTGCCCAAAGTAATTTATAGATTCAATGCGACCCCATCAAGCTACCACTGACTTTCTTCACATAATTGGAAAAAACTAATTTAATCTTCATATGGAATCAAAAAACAGCCCACATAGCCAAGACAATCCTGAGCAAGAAGAACAAAGCTGGAGGCATCATGCTACCTGACTTCAAATATTACTACAAGGCTACAGTAACCAAAACAGCGTGTTACTGGTACCAAAACAGATATATAGACCAACAGAACAGAATGGAGTCCTCAGAAATAACACCACACAACCACCAACATCTGATCTTTGACAAACCTGACACACACAAGCAATGGGGAAAAGATTCCCTATTTAATAAATGGTGTTGGAAAAACTGGCTAGCCATATGCAGAAAACTGAAACTGGATCCCTTCCTTACACCTTATACAAAAATTAATTCAAGATGGATTAAAGACTTAAACGTAAGACCTAGGACCATAAAAATCGTAGAAGAAAACCTGGGCAATGCCATTCAGGACATAGGCATGGGCAAAGACTTTACATCTAAAACACCGAAAGCAATGGTAACAAAAGCCAAAATTGATAAGTGGTGTGTAAGTAAACTAAAGAGCTTCTGCACAGCAAAAGAAACTATCATCAGAGTGAACAGGCAACCTACAGAATGGGAGAAAATTTTTGCAATCTATCCATCTGATAAAGGGCTAATATCCAGAATCTACAAAGAACTTAAGCAAATTTACAAGAAAAAAGCAAACAACCCCCTCTAAAATGGGCAAAGGATATGAACAGACCCTTCTCAAAAGAAGACATTTATGCAGCCAACAGACATATGAAAAAATGCCCATCATCACTGGTCATTAGAGAAATGCAAATCCAAACCACAATGAGATACCATCTCACGCCAGTTAGAATGGTGATCATTAAAAAGTCAGGAAACAACAGATGCTGGAGAGGTTGTGGAAAAGTAGGAATGCTTTTACACTGTTGGTGGGAGTGTAAATTAGTTCAACCATTCTGGAAGACAGTGTGGTGATTCCTCAAGGATCTAGAACTAGAAACAACATTTGACCCAGCAATTCCATCACTGGGCGTATACTCAAAGGATTATAAATCATTCTATGATAAAGACACATGCACACGTATGTTTACTGTGGCAGTATTCACAATAGCAAAGACTTGGGACCAACCCACATGTCCATCAATGATAGACTGGATTAAGAAAATGTAGCACATATACAGCACGGAATACTATGCAGCCATAAAAAGTATGAGTTTATGTCGTTTGCAGGGACATGGATGAAGCTGGAAACCATCATTCTCAGCCAACTACCATAAGAACAGAAAACCAAACACTGCATGTTCTCACTCATAAGTGGGGAGTTGAACAATGGAAGACATGGCCACAGGGAAGGGAACATCACACACTGGGGCCTGTTGGGGGGTGAGGGGCTAGGGGAGGGATAATATTAGGAGAAATAGCTAATGTAGGTGATGGGTTGATGGGTGCAGCAAACCACCATTGCTCGTGTATACCTATGTAACAAAACTGCACGTTCTGCACATGTAACCCAGAACTTAAAGTATAATAATAAAATAAATAACCCATAGCCAACATCATACTGAATGGGGAATAGCTTGTAACATTCCACTTGAGAACTGGAACAAGACAAGGATGCCCACTTTCATCACTCCTATTCAACATAGTACTGAATGTCCTAGCCAGAGCAACAGGCAAGAGAAAGAAAAAAAAAGACATCCAAACAGAAAAAGAAGAAGTCAAACTATCTCTCTTTGCTGACAATATTCTTTACTTAGAAAACACTAGACTCTGCCAAAAGGTTCCTAGAACTGACAAACATGATTTTTGTAAGGTTTCAGGATGCAACATCCATGTACAAAAATTAGTTGCAGTTCCATACACCAATAACATTAGATCAAGAACACAGTTCCGTTTACAATAGTTAGATCGAGAACATAATTCCATTTGAAATACCTAAGAAAACATCTAACCAATGAGAAAAAATATCTCTATAAAGAGAACTACAAAACACTGCTGAAAGAAATTGGAGATAACAAACAAATGGAAAAAAATGAAAAAACATCTCATGCTCATGGATTGGAAGAATTAACATCATTAAATGACCATACTGCCCAAAGCAGTTTTCAGATTCGATTTTCCTAACAAACTACCAAAATCATTTTTCACAGAAGTAGGCAAAGCAATCCTAAAATTAATATAGAACTAAAAAAGAGCCCAAATAGCCAATGCAATCCTAAGCCAAAAGAACAAAGCTGGAGGCATCACACTACCTGACTTCAAATTGCACTACAACACTATAGTAAATAAACAGGATGATACTGGTATAAAAGCAGACACATAGATCAACGGACCTAGAAATAAAGTCACATATCTACAGCCAAGTAATCTTTAACAGTCAAATGTAACATACACGGTGGAAAGCACACTCTTTTCAGTAAATGGTACTGGAAAAATTGGGTTGCCATATTCAGAAGAATGAAATGAAGCTTGACTCCATTTCTCTCCATATAAAAAAATCAACTCAAAGTGGATTAAAACTTAAATGTAACACTTAAAACTGTGAAACTATTAGAAGAAAACATAGACAAAACTCTTCTGGATACTGGTCTTTGCAAAGAATTCATGATTAAGACCTTAAAAGCACAACCAACAAAACAAAACAAAAAAAGTAGACAAGTGGGATTTAAACTAAAAAGCTTCTGCAAAAGCTAAAATCAACAGAGGGAACAGACAATCTGCAGAATGGGAGAAAATATTTGTAAACTATCTATCTGACAGGGGAGTAATATGCAGAACATACAAAAAACTCAAACAACTCAACAACAACCACAACCACCACCACAACAAAAATAATCCCATTAAAGGGTGGGCAAAGGACATGAATTGACATTTTTCAAAAGACACACAAATGTCCAAGTATATGAAAAAATGTTCAACATCACTAATTATCAGAGAAATACAAATTAAAACCATAATGAGGTATCATCTTACACCAGTCAAAATGGCTATTATTAAAAAGACAAAAAAAAAAAAACAGATGTTGTTGAAGATGTGGAGAAAAGGGAACACTTATACATTATTGGTGGGAATGTAAATTAGTACAACCTCTATGGAAAATCGTACAGAAATTTATCAAAGATCTGGAAATAGAACTACCATTCAATTCAGCAATCTCACTATTGGATATCTACACAAAGAAAAGAATAATTATACCAAAGATATTTCTGTATTCTTTTGCAAAGCAATGTCTTTGCAATATCTTACTTTGTTTATCCATTCTACTATTGACACTAGCTCCATCTCTAATTTTTTTATTTCAATAGTTTTTGGGGTACAGGTGTTTTTTTACTTACATCCATAAATTATTCAGTGGTGATTTCTGGGATTTTGGTGCACCTGTCACACAAACAGTGTAAACTGTACCTGATATGTAGTATTTTTTTCCTCACCCACCTTCTACCCTTTCCCCTTCCCCGAGTCCCAAAGTCCATTATATCACGCTTATGCTTTTGCATCCTCATAGCTTAGCTCCCACTTACAAGTGAGAACATAGGATATTTGAATTTTTATTCCTGAGTTACTTCACTTAGAATAATGGCCTTCAGTTCCATCCAAGTTGCTACAAGGACATTATTTCAATTCTTTTTATGGTTAAGTAGCATTCCATGGTGTATATATACCATCTTTTCTTTATCCATTCATTGGTTGATGGGCACTTATGTTGGCTCCACATTTTTGCAATTGTGAATTGTGCTGCTATAAACATCCCTGTGCATGTGTCTTTCATATAATGATTTCTTTCCTCTTTAGGTAAATACCCAGTCGTGGGATTGCTGGACCAAATGGTAGTTCTATTTTTAGTTCTTTAAGGAATCTCCATACTATTTTCTATAGTGGTTGTACTAGTTTACATTCCCAACAGCAGTGTAAAAGTGTTCCCTTTTCACCACGTCTATGCCAACATCTATAATTTTTTGACTTTTTAATTTCTGACTGCTATGAATAAAACTGTTATGAATAGTCTTACGCAAGTATTTTGTCAATATGTTTTTATTTCTATTTGGTAAACACCTAGAAGTGGGAATGGTAGGTTACAGGGAAGGTATACAGTTGCCTCCCAGGATACATGGAATTCATTCCCAGACCCTTGTATATACCAAAATCCCCACATATTCAAGTCCCACAGTTGGCCCTGCATATATTGCCCCTCCATATACAGGGGTTTCACATCCTGTTAATATTGTATTTTCAATCCACTTGGTTGAAAAACATTCAGAATGTAAGTGGATCCTCGCACTTAAAACTCATGTTGTTCAAGGGTAAACTGTATAATTACTTTTGTTATGAGCCTTCAGACCTTTTCTAAAATGGTTGTATCATTTTACCATTCTACCAAATACGTATACAAATTCCAATTATTTCACATTTTTCTCAACATTTGATTTTATCAGCTTTTAAAATTTTAGTCATTCTGATGAATGGGTGGTAGAAACATATTTTTTTAAAATTTGTATTTTCTGGCCAGTGTGGTGGCTCACACCTGTAATCCCAGCACTTTGGGAGGCCGAGGTGGGTGGATCACCAGAGATCAGGAGTTCGAGACCAGCCTGGCCAACATGGTGAAACCCCATCTCTACTAAAAATACAAAAAAGTTAGCCAAGTATGGTGGCAGGTGCCTATAGTCCCAGCTACTCTGGAGGCTGAGGCAGGAGAATGGCATGAACCCGGGAGGTGGAGCTTGCAGTGAGCTGAGATTGCACCACTGCACTCCAGCCTGGGCGACAGAGCGAGACTCTGTCTCAAAAAAAAAAAAAAAAAAAAAAAAAAATATATATATATATATATATATATATATATATATTTCTTGATGACTAATACATTGAACACTTTTTTATGTAAAATAATCATTTGCCTTTATGGACATATTTGTTTATATTGTATCATACAAATTATATACAAGCACCTTTCTGTCCGTGAGAATAAATCATTAAAATGGAAATAGCAAGAAAAAAAATGCAATATTTTTTTCCCTTTTACCTCATGTATATATAGAAGTAAATATATGGTAAATTAATCATTTTAATACAGAAAAATAAAATGAAAAACAAAATATAATCATAATTCTATTTTTATTTAACATACAAACAAAAATTATTTATGGTATGATTTGGGACAAGAGACAATCTTGTAAATCTTCTAGCTTTCTTTTTCTTTTTATTCTTAAAATTTTAGTTTATTTAAAATTTAAAGTTTTCTTAGTAAACTTCATGTCAGCTTCATTTATGTTGTTTGGTAAATCTGTTTGAAAAAGTAAAAAAAAGATTTCAAAATTCCTCTCCAACTTTAAAATGTTGGTACAGAAAAGTTTAATCAGAATATATTTCTATGCATTTGTGGTAATGAGTAAAAATATTTTAATTTTTGTGTTCATTTGATTTTTATTCATTCATAAAAAGTAAACAGATGAATTTCTTAAAAAATATCAAATATAATTTTACCTATCTTTTTTTTTTTTTTTTTTGAGACAAGGTCTTGCTCTGTCACAGCTTGGAGTACAGTAGCTCATCTGCAGCCTCAACCTCCCAGGCCCAAGTGATCCTCCCATATCAGCCTTCTGAGTTGCTGGACCACAGGTGCATGCCACTATACCTGTCTTATTTATTTATTTATTTTATTTATTTATTTATTTATTTTTTTGTAGAGATGGGATCTTTCTATGTTGCCCAGGCTGGTCTGGAACTCCTGGGCTCAAGCTATCATCCCTTGCTTGGTCTCCTTTAGTGCTGGGATTACAGGTGTGAGCCACTGTGCCCAGTCTTTGATAATTTTTCTACCACTTCAATCATTCATCTTTTATTTATTAAGTATAGTTCTGATAATCTGGTAAGTAACAGAGTGCTAAAAAGCTAATGGATGTTAGGATTATTGAAATATAAAAAATTCAGCGGTCTTCTTTAAAGATAGTATTTAAGGGCATTTTTTGACTGAATTTTCCATGTGATTCAATTTTCCTTTTTCTATTTTATATGTAGATAATTAAAAAGAATTAACCAGCAAAACAAAACAGCTGGGTTATTCTTTTCCCCTGCAAATTAGAAGTAAAGTTCATTTTATGGTTTTCATTTTATGTTACTAATATCTCTCCAGATACTGATTACACTGATTATCAATTCATAGAACTTCAGAACTTGGAAATAGCCTCAGGCATCACCTAATTCAGTATTATTCAACATGGTTCACCAAAAACATCTACTTTAGAATCAGATCACTCAAATGTTTGTTAAAAATGAAGATACCTTTGCTGTGCATAAGCTTTTTAATTTGATGTAATCTCATTTGTTGGTTTTTGTTTTTGTTGCCTGTGCTTTAAAATTCATATCCAAAAAAAATTATTCCCTATGCTGATGTCATCAAGCATTTCCCATATGTTTTCAGTTTCTGGTTATACATTTAAGTCTTTAATTCATTTTGAGTTGATTTTTGTATATGTTTAGAAATAAGAGCCCAATTTTATTCTTCTGCATGTGAATATTTAGTTTTCCCAATCACATGTACTGAAAAGACTGTCCTTTCCCCAGTGTATGTTGTGGCACCTTTGCCAAAAATCAATCAGCTGTAAATGTGTGGATGTATTTCAGGGATCTCTGCTCTGTTCCATTGGTCTATGTGTCTGTTTTCATGCCAGTATCATGCTGTTTTGGTTACTAATGCTTTATAGAATGTTTTGAAGTCAGGTTATGCTTATGCCTCCAGCTTTATTCTTTTTGCTTAAGATTGATATAGCTATTTGTGGATTTTTGTTGTTCCATACAAATTTTAGAATTTGTTTTCCTATTTCAATGAAGAATGTCATTGGTATTTTGATAGGGATTAGAGTGAATCTGTAGATCACTTTGGGTAGTACAGACATTTTAACAATACTAATTTTTCCACCCATGAAGACAGTGTATCTTCCCATTTATTTGTGTCCTCTTTCATTTCTTTCATCAGTGTTTTATAGTTTTCATTGCGGAGATCTCTCATATTTTTGGTTAAATGTATTCCTAGAGGTTTTATTTTTTAAAGATATTGTAAATGGGATTGTTTTCATAGTTTCTTTTTCAAATAGTTCACCATTACCTTATAGAAATTCCACAGCTTTTTGTATGTTGAGTTTGTACCCTGCTACTTAACTGAATTTTTTAGTTCTAACAGTTTTTTGGTAGAGTCATTAGGGTTTTCTATATATAAGATTATGTCATCTGCAATAATGACAGAGACAATTTAACTTCCTCCTTTCAATTGGGATGCCTTTTATTTCTTTCTCTTGCCTCATTGCCCTGTTGCTCTGACTAGGACTACTAGTCCTATGTTGAACAGAATTGATAGAAGTCGGTGTTCTTGTCTTATGCCAAATCTTAGAGGGAGGTCTTTTAATATTTTCCTGTTCAGTATGACATTAACTTTGGGATGATCTTATATGGCTTTTATTGTGTTGAGGTACATTCCTTCTGCACAACAAAGGGCAAAATCAACAGAATTCATTGAAGGTCTACAGAATGGGAGAAAATATTTGTGAATTATACATCTGACAAGGAGTTAATATCCAAAACATATAAGGAACTCAAACAACAATAACAGAAAAATCAAATAACTTAATTTCAAAATAGACAAAGGACCTGAATAGACATTTCTCAAAAGAAGATGTACAAATGACCAACAAATATAGGGAAAACATGCTCAACTTCACTAAACATCCGGGAACTGCAAATCAAAGCCACAATGAGAAATCATCTCACCCCAGTTAAAATGGCTATTATTGAAAAGACAAAAGATAAGAGTTTTTGAAGATGTGGAGGAAAGGCAACACTTACACAGTGTTCTGTGGTGGGAATGTAAGTTAGTATAGCCATTAAGGAAAACAGCATGGAGGTTCCTTATTTTATTTTTTATTTTTGGAGACCGTGTCTTACTCTGTCACCCAGGGTGGAGTGCAATGATGCAATCTCGGCTCACTGCAACCTCCGCCTCCCAGGTTCAAGTGATTCTCCTGTCTCAGCCTCCTGAGTAGCTGGGATTACAGGCTTGCACCGCCACGTCCAGCTAATTTTTGTATTTTTAGTAAAGACAAGGTTTCACCATGTTGACCAGGCTGGTCTTGAACTCCTGACCTCAAGTGATCTGCCACCTCAGAAAGGTTCCTTAAAATATTAAAAATAGAATTATCATACAATCCAGCAATCCCATTTCTATCCAAGGAAATAAAATGAATATACCACAGAGATATTTATGGTTTAATGTTTATTGTAGTACCTTTCACAGTAGCCAATATATAGAATTAACCTAAGTGTTCATCAAAAGATAAATGGATAAAGAAAATGTGGTATAAATACACAATGGGATACCATTCAGCCACACACACACACAAAAGAAATCCTGTCATTTGTGACAACATAGATGAACCTGGAGGACATCGTGTTCACTGAAATAAGCCAGGCACAGAAAGTCAAATACTGTATGATCTTACTTATATGTGGGAGCCAAAAAAGTAGAAGAAGAAGGAGAATGTAATAGTAGTTACCAGAGACTGGTGGTTAGGGGGAAGAGGCTGACGGGGAGATGTTGGTTAAAAGATACATAATTACAGTTTATAGGAGGAATTGATTTCAAGAGATACACTGTAAAGCAAGGTGACTATAGTAAAGGAATATATATATTATATTCTTGAAAAATGTAAAAAAGTAGATGTTACATGCTGTCACCACAAAAATGATAACTATGTGAGGTAATGCATTTGTTAATTAGCTAGATATAAGTATTTCACTGTACACATATATATTTAAAGTATATATTTATATATATATATAAAGCATGTATATGTGTATATATATTTAAAGTATATATATATATACACATTAAAACATCATGTTGTACTCCATTGAAATGTACAATGTTATTTGTCAACTTTTAAAAAATTAAAATGAAAAGGTAATTAAATCATTTATTGAATTGTAAAAATGAAAGTATATAATCTATACTTCAGGCATGATAAATCAGAATCTTATAAAACATATTAGTGGCAAAGCTAGGAAAAAAATAGGTTTTCTAACTTCTGGCACTATTTTTTTTCCCTTTACACTCTTCTTCTACTACAAATAATGTATCTATATTTTGTGATATAAAATTTTTAAGTTGTCAATTTTATTTTTTTATCAAAATAAAGACATGGTATTGTGTAGATAGGATCAAAATATTTCTGAAACTATGTATGTCAATTGAATCTTTTTCACACTCTTAGATTTAACATAATTCCTCTAAGTGGCAAGATTTGAGTACAAGGGTATCTGAGCTACCCATATCCAACCTTTTTAATATTTAATTTATTGTGATTTTTACTAAGCTTTTCCTTCTAGTTTATACCTAGGTCAAAATGAAAGCATTTGGTTAAATTATTTATATTATTTAAGTGCATTTAGTCTATCAGAATTCCTAATTAAATATTTCAGTATCACTGGGATAAAACTGGTAACCAAATACATTTTCTAGACAAAGAAAAATATTTCCAGCAAACAAGAAACCCAGGGGAAGTTACGTTTTAAAATCATCTCCTCGTTTTTTAAATAAGCATTGATATTAATAATTTTATCTTCAAAAATATGAATCCTTGACAGTCTAATTAAGCATCATACAGCATCTTTAAAGAGCAAACATCAAGTGCTTGAGAGATAAAGACTTTATTTTTATTCAATTTAAATTAAATTTATTATTTTTTTCTTTCTTTGAGACAGAATCTTCCTCTGTCATTCAGGCTGGAGTCCAGTGGTGCAATCACAGCTCACTGCAGCCCCAACCTCCCATGCTCAGACAATCCTCCCACCTCAGCCTCCCGAGTGGCGGGGACTGCAGACATGTATCCCCACATCTGGCTAATTTTTCTATTTTTTTGTGGAGATAGGGTCCCACTATGTTGCACAGGCTAGTCTTGAACTCCTGGGCTCAAGTGATCTGCCCTCCTCAGCCTTCCAAAGTGCTGGGATTACAGGCGTGAACTACTGGCCAAGACTTTTTAAAGAAACACTGAAAACTCTGTCATTAACAAATAAATTAATCAAAATTTAAAGATTTCAAAGTTGGAATCGTATACAAAAAGTATTAAAAATTCAAATATATATTTAAATGATTTATACAGAACACATATTTTCTCCTGACTTGTAAATATTTATAAGTAGACGACTAAAATATTGTTTTCTGCTTTGATCATGTAATGTTTACTAAACTATTCTGATTCATATCATTTGTTCAGTTTGTTTCCTAATGGGTTTAATCTTGCTGCACAAATTGTTCAAAGAAATGTAAGTTCTCAAATCCTCTGTGTCTTTTTGAACTATACCCTCATTGAATCTTTATAATTATTTTATAAATTCCTCTGTCCCAAGGGGATGAGTAATGCAGATGTTAAATTACTGTACTGTAAATACTCCAGGATTCAAAATGTGTTATGAAGTCATAATGAATTTTTTTCAGGAGAAATGAACACAAAACTGATACAAAAAATAAAGTAGCTCAAAACCTACCAGTGTTCAAAATAAGTTCTGGGACACAGAAGTGCTCAATAAATATTTCTTTAACTGATTTAAACTATATTATGCAGCATACTATGGGAATATTTGAATCCAGAAATATTTTTAAAGTACAATTTTAACTATATAATACTATAACTGAGTGAGAGGAAACTGAAGTCAGTATTGACAAAGATTCCAGAGCTAATAGCAAAAGAAGGACTCAAATCCAAGTCTGTGGATTCCAAAGACCATTCTTTATCCACTGTCTACACTCCCTCTCTTTAAGGATAGGATAATGCACAAGGCATTTGAAACACTTATAAAATAAAACTGTGTAGAACTCCATCACAGAAAATTTTAAGCCCTAAATACGTAGAACAATCAGCATCCAGAATCAATCTTTTCCCAAATGCTTCAAAAATAACCATTCTAAATATGTATTTGAAAGCAATGAATATTACACATGGATCAATTTCAGTATGCCCATATGGGTAACACTACCTTTCCTGTGGTTGGCCCTTTAAATTATTTTCTCTATTGAGTTGTAAAAAGAAATTTTAAAGGTAGCTAATATCCAGAACTCAGAACAATTGGCCTTCCAATATCGATCTTGATATTGGATCTATTTCCTTTGGTTTGAAAATCTTTCTTCAACACCCTTCAGGCCCTTGGTAGAGACTACACTACTTTCTGATCTAGCCTCTGCATTATCATTTCTTGATCAGCTCTATACTCCAAGCTTAGCATCTTCCCTTGTGGGTGAGGCTCTAATACTCCAGTCCTGTGTGACCTAACTCTAGCCATGTTTTATCTGTTGAAAACTCTATCGCTAATCTCTACTCTCTTTAAGAGGGACCATACTGATAATATATCATCCATAAGGTATGTCAGTACATAGAGATATTAGCTTTATTTAGCTACAGAAGTAACTTTGCAAGTACTTTCCTGGTGTTTACACATTGACCCCAGAACTACAAGCAATTATAAATTACTTCATTGCCAATGACATTATGATAATAGTTTATCCAATATGGTAGTCATAGTAATTTTAATTTTAATATAACATCTTAGAGATCAGAAAATATATTATCACCCTTCTTTACCTTTACCATCACCTATGCAGTTTGGATCGTGTAGTAGAAATTGATGACAAGGAAAGTCTTATTTTATGGCTTTCATAAGAAATTGATATGAGATCCACAAGCACAGATTACTGAAAATCACTGAACTATAAAAATGAAATATGGAAATAAATATTTAAAATAAAGATAGCATATTAAATTAAGTTTATGTGCTAAGCAGGTATTTATCATAATTTTTATGATTGATATTAGGTAACAGTCTCTTCCATGTTCATTTAATTTTGGCTAATGAGCTACATTTCCTAAACAATTACAATGTAATGGATGTATATCCTGGTGTTATTATCATGTTAGTGCTATAGAGTTCATAAAAGGTACTATAAAAATGGCACAAAATATACACTAAAATTAATTATGACATGAGTCTTTGTTGTTGTTTTAATTTTCTTTGGAAAATTGACATATTTATTTCAAAAACTTATCTTTCTCATTACTATTGGTAGTGTATTTGAGGTCTATATTACAAAAATATAGACTATCCCATATTATATTTTAATTGTGTCAGAGCTTTGGAATCTATCTATCTATCTATCTATCTATCTATCTATCTATATTAGAGAGACAGAGAGAGAGAGACATAT
This sequence comes from Homo sapiens, assembly GCF_000001405.40. Lineage (NCBI taxonomy): Eukaryota > Metazoa > Chordata > Mammalia > Primates > Hominidae > Homo > Homo sapiens. The sequence continues at coordinate 92,160,928 of NC_000004.12, forward strand.
ATACTTATATTTTTAACATTTAAGTTTTTGTTTACTCCTTAGGGCATTTCCCAATATTTTCATATAATTTAATATTATGAGAAGCACTATCAATCTTTTGATAATACATTTAACAATTAGGTGATCAAAATCCTATCCTGAGTAACACAGACACTTCATTCATTTCTTTAACAAATACTATGGAGATGTGGCTATGGAGTACTGTAACAAGTAAGGAGATAAACAAAATACTGCACAAAATGTTTTTCATTACAATGGTGGTAAGCACCATAAAGGAAAACTTTCTATTGTTACGATTTGTGGAAAAGGGAACAATACCTGGTTGTATTAGTCTGTTCTCACTCTGCTAATAAAGACATACCTGAGACTGGGTAACTTATAATGAAAAGAGGTTTAACTGACTCACAGTTCCACACAGCTGGGGAGGCCTCACAATCATGGTGGAAGGTGAATGAGGAGCAAAGTCACATCTTACATGGTGGCAGGCAAGAGAGCATGTGTAGGGGAACTCCACTTTATAAAACCATCAGATCTCATGACACTTATTCACTATCATGAGAACAGCATGGGAAAGGCCTGCTCCCCTGATTTGATTACCTCCCACTGTGTCCCTCCCATGACACATGGGAATTATGGGAACTACATTTCAAGATGAGATTTGGGTGGGGACACAGCTGAACCATATCACTGCTTTAGGAGATTGTATGTGAGAAAATGTTCCCTGAGCTTAGTCCTGAAGGATTTACATGCAAGACACTGACAAAAACTGGGGATAAATCATTGCAGGCAGAGGGACTGGCAGGTATACATTTGTATAATATGATGTGACAAAATTTTTATCTTGCAGAAGAAACTGAATTAAGTTCAGGTTGTCTGGAGTATGTTTGTATTGAAGAGAGATTCAAAACAAGATTATAGATGTCATTAGTGAATTCCATTTATCACTCTTATAATACATGTAAAAGATTTTCTACAATATCCAAAAAACATGGGAAGCCACTGAAGGATTTTAAGCAAAAGAGTGACATATTCAGGTTTGTATATTTTAAAGTTATCTCTGGCTGTACTATAAAGAATAGATTTGAGGTGAAAACTGAAGAAGAGAGGAAGCCCTTGCAATAGTTCACATGTGAATTGATGGTGATTACATTAAGAGTTATGGTGGAGATGGAACAAAGAGGAAAAATTAAAGAAATATTTTATAGCTGCCATTTGGTAATCAACATATTCATCTTTGGTCTATAGGATCTTTAAAGACAAGATTCACTGTATGTATTATTTCATTTCTACAAATATTCCAATATTTTTGTTTCTTTCCACTATCTGAAAAGACCATTTATCCAGTCTTTTTATTTTTTTTTAATTATCTTATTTTTCAAGATGGCTGACTAGGAACATTACAAGCCCATTTTCCTCAGAAAGAAGATCAAATTTACCAGTGAATAGTCAAGTTTTAAAAGAAAAATGGTGGGAAGTTAGCCAGGACCTATTGGATCACCCATGGGAAGATGTTGGGGCACATAAAACAAAAACAGCAAGAGTCTGGCTTAGACTCCTGAGGAACTCAGAGCACAGTGAAAAGGATAGATGGGAAGGCTTTTCTGCTCCCCTAAGCCTTCTGGCAATCTGCTAACCACTTGCTGGAGAGCCCTTCTGCCCTCACAACCTGGGGCAACACCATAGGTGGCAAGTAGAGAACTTCCTAAGAACAGAGAACTGGGTGGCCAGCTCACATAGCCATGCCACAACCCTAACACCCAAAATGAGATGGCATGCACCATACTGGTGGTGCACTCATGGTGTCACTCCCCTGTCTGGGTATCCTCTGCTCTTTAACCACTGCACCACCAGAACACCCACAGACATATCCCACAACCCACTCTGACTTTGGCAAGCACAGGGAAATGGCAGGTCCCCAGGGAGTTGTGGGCCCTCTGGAAATCTCACCCTTGGCATGAGCCATTCCTAAGGGAAGAGAGAGTAAAACCCACCCAAACCCTCTTTGATACAAAGGAAATGTGAGCATGGTATAAACCAATGAAGGAGGCAACACTAATGCCTGGCAATGGATGTGGAGAGGCGGTCATCTTTTACCCTCCTTCTGCCCACACACCCCCAATACACTGTTACACATGCAACAGCAGTTCTTCCCATCGAGCCACTGAGTACTCATGGAAAGAAAGAACTTTTCCCACTTTCCTAGAGCCTCCACTCCACTGAAAGTAAACTGGCATCTGCTCACGCTTCCATGAAAAGTGAGGCCCAACTTCCTTTCCCTTCACTGAACAGCAGTGCCCCAGAAACTAAGGAGAGACTGTGGAGTTTCCTGCTCTGGTCTTGGGGAAGAGGTTCTGCTCCAAGCCCTATTCTAGCTATAGTCTTCAGAGAGGTGGATCTGCAGCCCACAGCTGTACTAAGGCCAGGAATCAAAGGAGAAAGCCTTTATAAAAACAGAAGATTGTTAGACTCAAAACAGGTGCATGATAGGGAAATGGATCACATTTCTGCTAACTCAGGTCAAGGAACTGGTGTACCCACTCTTCTCCCAATATTTCAGCACATCCCATCATGATTTCTAGGTGCCAACCTCATTAGGGCAGTTTGTGCCCACTAGGCACCAGGCCACTTGCCCGCTCTTAATGTTAAGTGCCATCTACTGGAGTGTAGTCTGAACTGCATCACTAAACAAAAATATATCACTACATCAAGAAGCATCTGAGAAAGCACCACACAGAACCTATTTGCAACCAAGACACACATACAGAGACTTGGCCCCCTCAAAATAATTGAAACGAAGCCAATGGATCATATACAACATACACCACAGTAAAATCCTCAAGGGGAAAAAGAATTAAAAATTAAAAAGCCCCATCCAAAACAAAGAAAAACAAACAAACAAACAAAAAAATAGAAGCAACAGCTGCTCCCTCAGGTGAGAGCAAATCAGCACAGAAGCTCTGGCAGTACAAAAAACAGTGTTCTGTCACCTCCAAAAATTGCATTAGATCCCTGGCAATAGATCCTAACCACATTGAAATGGCTGAAATGAAAGATAAAGAATTCAAAGTATGTATTGCTGGAAACTCAATGAGATCCAAGATAAAGTTAAAATCCATCACAAAGATAACAATAACATGATCCAGGATTTGAAAGAAGACATCACTATATTAAAAGAATCAAAGAGTGCTTATGGAATTAAAAATGTCACTACAGGAATTTCAAAATACAATTGGAGACTGTATTAGTCCATCTTCACACTGCTGATAAAGACATACCCACAACTGGGCAATTTACAAAAAAAAAAGGGGGGTTATTGGACTTAAAGTTCCGTGTGGCTGGGGAGGCCTCACAATCATAATGGAAGGTGAAAGGCACGTCTTACATGGCAGCAGACAAGAGAATAGAGTTTCTGCAGGGAGACTCACATTTTTAAAACCATCAGATCTCATGAGTCTTATTCACTATCACGAGAACAACAAGGGAAAGACCTGCCCCCATGATTCAGTTACCTTACTGGGTCCCTCCCACAACACATGGAAACTAAAGATGAGATTTGGGTGGGGACACAGCCAAACCATATCAAAATCCTTAGTAATAGACTAGATCAAGCATAAGAAAAAATTTCAGAGCTCAAAAATCAGTCTTTTTGAATCAACCAAACCAGACAAAAATAAAGGAAAAAGATTTTTTAATGAAAACTTTTGAGAATTAGAAAATAATGTAAAGCCACTAAACATATAATTTATTGGCATTTCTGAAAGAGAAGATGAAGATGAAAAAGTAAGCAACTTGGAAAAGGGATTTCAGAGTATAATCCAGGAATTGCTAAAAACGTTGACATGCAGCAGATACAAAAAAAAATCCAGAGCACTTCAGTGAGACAATGCACATGACAACCTTCCCCAAGGCACATAGTCATTAGACTATCCTAGGTCAATGTGAAAGAAAAAATCTTAAAGACAGATAGAGAAAATGGCAAAATTACCTATAAAGGGAATTCCATAAGACTAATAGCAGACTTCTCAGCAGATACCATACAAGCCAAAAAAGATTGGGGACCTATTTTTAGCCTTCATTATGAAACAAAATGCCAAACGAGAACTTAGTATCCTTTTAAACTGAGCTTCAGACATAAAGTCTTCCTCAGAAGAGTAAATGTTAAGAGAATTCGTCACCACCAGGCTGAACCTACAAAAAAAAAGCTCAGTGGAATTCTAAACAAAAAACAAAATGATGATACTTGCTACCACAAAGGCACACATAAGTACAAAGTCCACAGACCCTATAAAGCAAATATACTACTGAGATTACAAAGCAACTAGCTATCAACCATATGAGAGGAAGGAAACCTCACATATCAATATTAGCCTTTACCATAAATGGTGTAAATGCTCCACGTAAAAGCCAGCATGGCAAATTGGATAAAATAAATGATCTTCTGCTGTCTTCAAGAAACCCATCTCACATGTGATAACAATCATAGACTCAAACTAAAGAGATGGAGAAAGATCTATCATGCAAACCGAAAACAAACAAAAGGCAAGGTTGCTATTGTTATATTACATAAAACTTACTTTAAACCAACAATAGTGAAAACGTACAAAAAAGGGCATTATAAAATTCAACAAGAAGATATAATCATTATATATATATATATATATGCACCCAACATCAAAGCATCCTAATTTATGAAACAATTACTATTAGTCCTAAGAAAAGAGATAGAAAGCTACACAACAATTATGGGGATTTTAACACCCCAGTGATAATGTTAGAGAGACCATTGATGTAGAAAACTGACACAGAAATTGTAGACTTAAGTGGAACACTTGACCAAATGGATTTAATGGACAGCTACAGCATACTCCACCCAACAACTACAGAATATACATTCTTCTCATCCACATATGGAACATTCTCTAGGACTGACTACATGCTTGGCCATAAAGCAAGTCTCAATAAATTCAGAAAGTCAAAATTATACCAACCATCCTCTTTGAACACAGTGGAGTAAAATTAGAACTCAATACCAAGAGGAATTCTCAAAACCACACAAATACATGGAAACTAAACAACTTGGTCCTGAACGACTTTTGAATACACAAGGAAATTAAGGCAGAAATAAAAAAAAATATTTGAAACAAATGAAAATAGAGAAACAACATGCCTAAAACTCCGAGATTCAGCAAGAGTAATGGTTAAGAGGAAAGTTTAGAGCACTATATGCCTACATCAAGAAAATAGAAAGATTTCAAATTAACAACCTAAAGTCACACTTAAGGGAAATAGAAAAACAAGAACAAAGTAGACCCAAAGCTAGCAGAAGAAAATAAATAACTAAAATTAGAGCAGAACTAAATAAAATTGAGACCAAAGAATGAACTTAAACAAAGGATCAACAAAATAAGAAGTTAGCTTTTGAAAGGGTAAACAGGACTGATAGACTACTAGTTAGATTAACAAAGAAAATAAAGAGAAGACCCAAATAAGCACCATCAAAAATGACAAAGGGACGTTAACAACTGATCTCACAGAAATACAAAAATCCTCAGAGATTACTACGAAGATCTCTATGTGAACACACAAAAAAACCTGTAGGATATGGATAAATTCTTGGAAACACACAAACCTCTCTTCATTGAACCAAAAAGAAACTGAAACCCTGAACAGACCAATAGTAAATTATAAAATTAAATTGGCAACAAAAAACTAACCAACCAAAAACACTTCTGGACCAGTTAGATTTACAGCTGAATTCTACCAGATGTACAAAGAGAGCTGGTATCAATCTTACTGAAATTATTACCCCAAAATTGAGGAGACGTGTTTCTTCCTAACTCATTCTATAAAACTTGAATCATCTTATACCGAAATTCGGCAAAAACACAAGAAAACTGCAGGCCGTTATCCCTGGTAAACATAGGCACAAAAATCCTCAACAAAAGGACTAGCAAAATGAATACAGTAGCATATCAAAAAGATATTTTACCATGACCAAGTGGGCTTTAGTCCTGGGATGCAAGGATGGTTAAATTTCAGCATATCAATAAACATGATCCACCACGTAAACAGAATTAAAAGCAAAAACCATGTGATAATCTCAATGGAAGCAAAAAAGGCATTCAATAAAATCCAATATCCCTTCATGATAAAAACCTTCAAGAAAGTAGGTGTCAAGGGAGCATACTTCAAAATAATAACAGCCATTTATGACAAACTCACAGCAAACATCATATTGAACTGACAAAACTTGAAAACATTTTCCCAAAGAACTGGACAAAAACAAGGACATCTACTCTCACCACTTCTATTCAATATAGTATGGTAGTTACTTGCCAGAGCAATCAGACAAGAGAAAGAAATAAAAGGCATCCAAATAGGAAAGAGGACATTAAATTATCTCTATTTGCTTACAGTATGATTCTATACCTAGAAAACTCTAAACCTCCCTCCAAAAGACTCCTAGATCTGATAAACTACTTTAGTGAAGTTTCAGGATACAAAATCAGCATACAGAAATAACTAGCATTTCTATACATCAATACAGTTCAAGCTGAGAACCAAATAAAGGGTGCAATCCTACTTGCAATAGCCATCAAAAAAAAAAAATACCTAGGAATACATCTAACCAAGGAGGTGAAAGAGCTCTACAAGGAGAATTACAAAACACTGCTGAAATAAATTATTTATGACACAAACAAATGGAAAAACATTCCATGCTCATGGATTGGAAGAAGCAATATTGTTTAAATGCCCACACTACCCAAAGCAACGTGCAGATTCAATGCAATTCCCATAAAATTACTAACATAATTTTTCACAGAATTAGTCAAATTAATTGTAAAATCCATATGGGACCAAAAACATGTCCAATAGTCAAGGCAAAGCAAAGGGAGCAAAGGAGCAGGCTTCACACTACTCCATTTCAAACTATACTACTAGTTTCTAATAACCAAAACAGCACGGTATTGTACAAAAATAGGCATATAGATCAATAGAACAGGAAGGAGAACTCAGAAATAAAACCACACACCCACAACAAACTGATGTTTGACAGAGTCAACGAAAATAAACAATGAGGAAAGGACACCTTTTCAATAAATTGTACTGGGAAAACTGGCCAGTCATATAGAACAAAACTGGATCCCCACCTGTCACTATATACAAAAATTAACTCAAGATGTAGTAAAGATTTAAATCTAAGATCTCAATCTATAAAAATCCTAGAAAAAAACCCAGGAAAAATTATTCTGGACATTTGCCTAGGCAAATAATTCATTACTAAGAACACAAAGGCAAATGCAACAAAAACAAAAATTGACAAATGGGAATTAATTACACTAAAAATCTCTCTATACAACAAAAGAAACAATCAACAGGGTAAAGAGACAAAGTACAAAAAAGGAAGAAAATATTTGCAAACTATGCGTCTGACAATGGATTAGCATCCAGAATCTGTAAGCAACTTAAACAAATAAAAACTAAATAACACCATTAAAAAGTGGTCAAATAACATTAACACTCCTTTTTCAAAAGAAGACAAAAAAGCAGCCAAGAAATTTATGAAAAAATACTCAATATCACTAGTCTTCAGAAAAATGAAATTTAACCACAATAAGATACCATCTCACATCAGTCAGAACGGCTATTAATAAATAGTCAAAAAATAAGAGATGGGCAAAAATGCAGAGAAAAGGGAATGCTTACACACTGGTGGTGGGAATATAAATTAGTTCAGCCTCTGTGGAAAGTAGATTGGAGATTCCTCAACCCACCAAAAATAGAACTACCTGTTACTGATATCTAACTAATGGAAGAGATGTTATTCTACCAAAAGACATCTGAACTCATCTTTATTGCAGAACTATTCACAACAGCAAAGTCATGGAATCCACCTGTGTGCCCAACCATGGTGGATTGGATAAATAAAATTGGTACATATACACCATGGAATACTACACAGTCATAAGAAAGAATGAGATCATGTCCTTTGCAGGAACATGGAGGCAACTGGAGGTCATTATCACAATTGAATTAATGAAGAAACAGAAAATCAAATACTGCATGTTCTCCCTTATAAGTGAGAGCTACAAAATGGGTACACACAGACACAAAGACAGAAACAATAGACACTGTGGTCTCCAAAAGTGGGAAACGAGGGAGGGAGGGGACCAAGGTTGAAAAACTACCTATTAACTACTATATTCACTATTTGGGTGATGAGTTCAATAGCAGCCCAAATCCTAGTACTGTCCAAAATATCCACGTAACAAACCTGCACATGTACCCTCTTGAAACTAAAATTTAAAAATTAGAATAAATTATCTTATTTTCACATTGATGTCATCTACAACAATAGGCACATTAAATGGGTTTACCTTATGTTATTTTAAAATTCTTCTCATAACATTTTGATCAATACACTTGTATTTACAACCATGGTTCCCTTCATTACATGTCAGTCATCAACATATCAATTTGGCTTATCTTTCAGCAAATACAAGGTAATATTTTTGCTGCTTAATAAAACAATAATTCTGAAGTCTCCTGCATTGTCTTCTAATTACCACTAGGAAAATATATGCAACCTCTTTTTTCTTTACATATTCTTTATTTCTATGTCAATTTTCAGATTCTTCTTGTCTAGGTCATGTTCAGCTTTTCACTTCCTAAGATGCATGCAGTCCATTGTCTTGTGCCTACTTCATGATTGTATCTTACTGTTCATTATCAGGTATATTTCAATCAGATAAGCAGACTTACTGTTAATAATATGAATAGAGTGTGCTTTTATAGGATTTTGAACGTGCTCAATTGTGAGGGCAAGTTAAGCAGCCTATTTAAGGCTGTTGATTCTGCTTTTGGTGCTGGATTTTGTCATCAGGTCGAACAGCAGGAAAAAAATTGGATGTGAAATATGGAGAGCAAGGACAAACTAGCAGCTCTGATGATGTGGTGGAACCTCTGGGACAAATTAAAATCATTGTCTGTTTCTCAACGCCTCCAGCCACCAAATTCACATGAGGAAAACGTTAGCAACTTTCCCATGAAACCACACAGGTATGAGGCACAGGAATTAGAGAAAATGAAGGAGGAAAATTTGTATATACTACATACACAAGCTTCAGGCACAGCTGTTGGCCCACACCAACAAAGTGACCCAGCAGACCAGAGACAACGTGCATGAATTGCAGCAGCACTTTATCCAACTTTAACTAACTAAGCCTACGGGTGGCTGCTGCTTCACTTCTGCCTTCCAAATATTGCAGAGAATTCTCCTGTGGAAAATCCTAACCTGGAATCACATAGGGAACAGACTTCTAGGGAACATAGTTTCACTTTAGCCTTGTTAACATAGTACACATTCATTACATTATTCATATATATGTACATATTTCTGGTTCTCATAATCTATTGAGTTAAAAAAAACCACGTCCATTTTAATCTTAAGAGCTACGCAATATATAAAGATAACAGAACAGGCTGAATAAAAATAGGGAGGCTATAATTTATTATATTTTCTTAATTGCCTTAGGAAATACAGTATACATAGGATGGCTTCATCATTATAATTAGTATTAGCAAGAGTAAAATCTGCATGAGTCATCAATTACTACTGCATTGAATGTTAAATAAGATTGTTAAAAAATTATAGTGTATACTGCTTTCTATATAATGATGATGAAACTCATTGTTTTCAGTAAGGACATATAATAAATCATTCTCAATTATATAACATTTCAAAGTTTAACTGCTGAGTTTCATGTGTTAGATTAATATGCCTTAGGTCCTTATATTTTATATTAATTTAACTCAGAGTTATTATGTACTTGTTCAAGGTCAACCATTTGGTATATGGCTGTAAAGAAACTTAAATTCAGATTTATATATCTTTTGACTCTAACTACAGTGCTCTTTCAGCTGTAACACCCACACAAACATAAACTCTCTTATGTTTAAATACGTATCTATATGCCTTGTGATTCAAGGTTACAAATTAAGTCTATACATTGATCTACTTTATGCAAAGATACTAATAAGATGATAATGAAAGGTTTTTAAAGGTATAAACCCATGACAATGAAGATCATGGGAAACAGATAATCATAAAATGAAATATTTCAAATATTTTCTGGAAGGTGAATATAAATGGAAGTGACTAAAGAAGGAAATTAAATTTTCACAAATGAGAATGCGTGCAGAAAGGTTTTAACCAAAGAGGGAATTCCTCTCCTTGGAAGAATTCTAGACAAGTTCAAGGATGCAGGACAGGAGGGGATGCAAGCATAAGATGTAGGACTAAAAATTAGGGATTCAATTGCAACAGTATTTAAGAATCCCTTGTCTACATGCTGTATATCCAGACATGCAACCAACATTCAATATCAACTGTAGCAGAAAACAGTCTCCAAGCATTAATGTTGGACGAACACAAAAACAAAATTAGTTATTTTCAACATAAATTCAATATACTATTTTAGGAGAAACAGAGCAACTCATGTAAGTGAAGCTTTCTTAATTGTGTTCTTTAAAGAAACAGCAGCATAATGGCTTGTTAGCTGCTCAGTTGCCCTAGACCAATGTTGCAGGTAAGTAAGCTTTGCCTTGCATTGAGTGAATTACTGTTCTTCTCAATGATTCATTTTAGGTAGAAATAGAAACAAAGAATCAATACATATCTGATATATCTTCTGAAAAAAGGAATTATAACGATAAACAAATTTTAAAAACCAAGAAAAAAAGAAAATCCTAAGATGATCTGATAATTTAAATATCTTAAAATTTCACTTTGAAAAGATCAAGAAAAATGTATATCTATAAAAAAACAAATTAATATGAGAAATAAAAAAAAACATTTAAAAAGACATTGAAAGTATGCAATATTTTCATGAAATATACATACAAAATGGGCTTAAATCAAGTCATACAGCTCTATGATTTTAACAAAGTGAATATATCCTTGTAATGAGATAAAGATCAAAACACAGTATAATATCAACACCACAGATGCTTTTGTCATCATCATTTCCAGCCTCTTTCCCTCTTGTCAGCAAATAAAATTACTATATTGGTTAGTTTTGCTTATTAAAAAAAAAAGTTACATGTATTTATACAGTAGGAACTCTTTTGTGATTGGCTTCTTTTGCTCAACACTTTGTTTTTGTGATTATACCCTGCTATGTTGCTCAGTGATAATTTTGCTCACTTTCACTCTCAGTAATAGGTGTATTTATTAATGCCACTTATGTCTGCATTGTTTCCAGTTTGGGACTATTATGAATAGTGTTATTATAAACATCATTGAACTTGTCTTTCAGTGTACATGGGTCCACATTTCTGTTACATTTACACCTGGGAGGAGATGTGCTGCTTCAAACAGTATGCAGATGCTAAAGATTAGCAGATACTGCCAAATTATTTTCCAAAATGATTCTAATCATTTATACTCCCACCATTAGTTGCTCCACACCCTTGTCAACACTTGGTGTCAGTCTTTTTCATTTTTGCAATATGAATGGGTGTACAGTAGTATTATACTGGGATTTAAATTTGCACCTTCTTAGTGATTAACTAAATTTAGCATTAGTCGATATGTTTATTGGACATTTAAATGCTGTATATTGTAATGTATCTAGTCAAGATTTTTGCCACATTTCTTTGGAGTTTTCTCTTTTTTTAGTAATTCATAGGAGTCTTATCAGTAAGTATACAGGATGTGAGTTCTTTGTCAGATAGAAGTATTGTAAATATCTTCTCCCAATGTGTGGCTTGAATTTCTATTCTTTCAATAATGTTTTTGGAGGAACAGAAGCACTTGGTGTTTAATGTTGATAAATCTCATCTCCTATTTGTATTTTTTTGTGTGCTTGTAAAGAAATCATTATGTAATCTAATGCCATTAAGATATTTTTCTTGGTTTTCTAATAAAAACTGTAAGAATTAAAGAAAGAGGAGAGAAACACGAAGATTGGCTTTACAGTTAACAGGGACAGGTTTATTTTAAACGAATCTGAGAGGGGTTGCTGGCCAAGTTAGATTAGAGCCACACTTTTTTACAGACTACGAGTTTTTAAGGATTTAGGGTACGAGAGTTTATTAGAGGATTGGACTGCTTTTGTGTCTGTTTGTTGTGTTTATCTGAGAGGGAGAGTTGTGTGTTTGTTCCCATACATCTCTCTGCAGCTGCAGGCATATCCCCCGGAGTTTGCTTTTAGCTTCCCTACCTTACTGCACCTCAAGGGAAAGGAATGTTCTTATTAAGGCCCACTGTTTTACTGGGGCTCACTGTATGAGGGTGAAATTTGGCAGTAACCCAAGAGACTTTCCCCCTACTTTTCTCTGTGCCCAAGCTGTCTTATCTGTGTTTTACTGTCTGCTCTTTCTGTCTGGTTGTAGTTAGAAGAGAAGTGATTTCCTTGAAACGCATGAAGCTAGAAAGGGAGCTGGAACTCAAAGTGGCAGTGTTTGTCCAAGATGACGGTGCTCCTGCTCTGTCATTAAACATTATAGTTTACTTGTTACATTTTGATTTGCAATATTTCTGTAACTGTTTTTGCATGTGGTATTAAGTAGGTCAAGATTTTTTTTTCACATAAATAGCTAATATTTTCAGCAATAATTATCGGCAAAACTGTTATTCTTCCATCACACTTTAGTGTTACCTTTGTCATAAGTCAAGAGACAGATATGTATGAGGGTCTTTTTTTGACTCTCAGTTATGTTTTATTGGCCTTTTCTATGTTGGTACATACACTATATTCATTACTGTATCTTTATACTAGGTTTTAATCTCTAACACTATGAATACACCGGATTTGCTATTCTACAAGATTGAATTGACTATTCAGATTTTACAAATTTAAAATATAACTTCCATAATAATTTTTTAAATCAGTAGAAGTCTTGGAAGATAAAAGCAAAGGAATATGGTAGAATGGATAACTTAAAAATAAAACCTAAAAAGTGAAAAGAAATATACCAAATAAGCTGGTACAAATTCCCTAAAATATAAATTCATGGAAAAATAAGAGATGGGAGAGGCAGTTGGCAATCATAGAATAATTTTTTAGAACAATTAATGGTATTTTAATGGAAATTCTAGGGAGCTCTACTTCCAACTCAAATTCTATTCCCATCTTTAGTACTTTGAATTAAGACCAGTGGAACCACTACTCATCTTGCTATTCTAAGTATCTGAGATTGAAAACATTTTTTAAAGCTAAAGTAATAGCTCATTCTCCCATGGATTAAGTGAGGACATATATGGCAAAAAGTATTTGATTTAGGATAAAGATATATCTTTATTCAAAGACTTAAGTATCTCAACACTTTAAAAATCAGGGTTTTAAAGTTTTGTAGTATTTTAACACATGAGATTTCACTTCACTTAAAAACTGTGTTTCTTACCATGTACTAAATTGCTCTCCTGAAATATAGACATAATATGAAGAAACAAGTTGCTAAAGTGTGTATTCAAAATGCGCAGAAAATTAAATGCATTTTACGAGTGAATAGTTTGCCAAAATTCTTAATATACAATTTTATATAATTTAAAGTAAGTCAGCTTCAGTGTAGGAAGCAAGTAAAGGTAATATTTTTGAAATCTTTATTGTTTTGTGGTTTGTATGTTTATTATATTTCTCTTAATAATAAGCCTCATGTGACATAGAGAATGCTTCAATAAAATCTGTTTGAAAGTTCAAATTAACTTCCACATACTTATGTTAACAAATTAATGAATCTGTGAAAACTTTTAAGGTTCATTGCAGTGCCTCTTGATGCCATGGGGCTTCACATTTGAATTACGCCCTTGTCAAGGAGTCTGGACTATTTGATTTGGGGTGTGATTACAATGTAGTTCTTAAATTAATGTGTACTAGTTTCATGGCATAACTCTCTCTTCCAATGTTAGATAATACTTCAAACTCATTAAGATATAATGATATATAAGAAACTATTATTAGTCCTAATATTAATTCTCTGTTCTCAAGTAATTGAACCTAATAGCAGTGGCACAGGAAGAATTACTGATTTAATTTAGGCTATTTCTTAGTGAACATTTTATGCTAAGTACAATATAAACTACCTTGAATTGACCTAAGATGAATACAAATAATATTATATTAAAATAAGGAATCACTTATTTGGAAAATGTTGGTATTATAATTGTTCAAATTATACGGGTGGTGCTAATGTGCTTTTTCACAATTACTACCACTACACTCTATATTCAGACTGCTTTAAGTATGAAATCTTTGAGGTCAGCATTTGTACTTGATCTTGTTGCAGAACTTTCTCCTTAGTTCAGCTAAAACTGGGTTCTTGTCACATGACCAAAAAAGACTAGGTTCATGGACACATAGAAGGGTGGGGAACAAAATTTATTGAGTGAAAAGAAAAAAGGAAAAAAAAAACTCAGCAAAGTGAGATGGAGTCCTGCTAACAGGCCCTCCATCTCACAGATTGAATCCCAGGTCACCACACAGGAACTGAAGAGGCCAGGCTCCTCCTGGCTGCAAATGGCATGAACTGCCTGAGGCTCCACCCTATTCTCCCAGGGTGCAGGTGGGCATTAGTCAGAGAGAATCAGTCGGGAAAGGGGAAAGGGTGGGCTTCATCCAGGAGCAGCAGTTTGATTTTTCAGCCTTCATGCTGTTTTAGGCTAGAAGGCAGGGTTTTGCCATGGACCCTTGGCTGTCTCCTGTCTGTATCAGTCCTACTTGCTCTAGACTGCAGATGTTATGAAGGAGTATGGAGAAGAGAAGTCTAAAAAGGAGAAATTCTAACAGATTTATCCAAATTTTAAAAGATCCTTATGTTTTGGATAAAATATAACTATACTGTGCATTTGATATTGGTTAAGAGAGCAAGGAGTCAGAGGAGGTATAGATGAAAAGAAAACAGTATTATTTGTTGAGAACTTATTATACATGTAATTATGCCAAAGTTATATAGATTGCCTATCTCATTTAATGGTCATGAAAACCCTGGAAGATAGATATTATTACTCCTGCTATAATTAGAGAAACTGACAGCCACAGTGTTAAGTAACTTGTTCAAGGGTACACAGATAGCAATTGGGCTGTATGTGCAAACATATGTTGTTTTTTGCCAGTCTTGCATCTTTTCCTTCTATTTTTTTAGTAACTATTAACTAGTTTTCTTCTAGTGACCATGGCATGCTGGCTTCAATTCAGAGAATTCAGAGGATCTCAGTGAACTTCAGGGAGACCTGACACCTATCCCTGATGGTTTTGGAGGTATATATATGAATTGGGTTTGGCCAATTTCAAACCCTGGCCAAAGTAATTGGTTCAGAAATAGGGCCATGACCTAAGACAAAAGAATTCATCTTTAATTTGATATATCAAAAAATATGTTCTTTCTAACTCTAGTGAACTTGAAAATTAACTGGGACCTGTTAGCTCTTATCTAATGTAGCTTGCCAGAGAATTGCACCCAATGGATGAAAAGTAAGTTATCATAAGGAGAGAAACAGTATTTAAATATAGCACTTGATTTCCTAGGTTGATGTGTCTAAAGTTTGACCACTAATAAAGATCCCTGTCATTTTATTTTTTATATTTTTGCTTAAGCCAATTTGGGTTAGATTTTCTGTAAATGACAAGCAAAACAGTCCTTATTAGTTGACAAAGTTAGGATTCAAACCCAACTCTGTGTACTCTTTGTGTGTACTTGCTACAATTGTCCATGTTAAGTAACTTTAATTCCCACACACTAAGTAGATCTAATTATTATAAGTTGAATTAAAAGCAGGTGAACATTTTCAGTAAAAAAGTTATAATGTTCTAATTCAGTAAATATCACAAAAAAAGTTTAGAGAGACATTTCACAATAAATAGAAAGCATAGTTTGTATTTTAGAGCTTTGAGCTTACCGTCTACTTAAAAGGATATAAAATTTCTTAGGTTCATGGATCAGTGTTAAGAGATCTCTAGCTCTCCTGAAATTATATGCCAAAAATTATGTGTGTGTGTGTGTGTGTGTGTGTGTGTGTGCATTTCCCTGGGCTGAAATTAGTAGCTATTGTTTAAACAATTCTTAATAGTGTCCATGCTCCTCAACAAATTTAAAGACTATTAAATCAAAGCCTAGCTCATAATGGTGATAATCAAGGAAGAGCTACTGATTACCTGAACTGCTGATGTTTGCCTAGTTCCAGAGAAAGAATGGAATAGCTTTTGTACCTACTACTGCTTACTGAGACATTACTGAAATCCACATTAGCAAAAGTCCAAAAAAAGAAAACAAAAAGTTACCAAAATATTTTAATAGATAGCAATAATTTTAAAAACTATATCTAGATATTATACATGGGAATAAAAACTTTTATTGTATAAAATATATGTTTATCCATGTTATTCATGGGGCTGACGATACAGACACCTTCCTCTCTTGAGCTGCCAAAGCCTCAGCCATGTGCAGTTATATAGAACCAACATCAGACTCTAACTCTGCCAGGTTTTCAGCCATGGTCTTTGTTCCCTGGCCTCACTGGGGCACATTAGTGTAAATTCTGCAGCTTGCCAATAGCGCATGCTTAGTCAGAAATGGGGAAATAATTTTCATTTTTATTCCTGAGTCTTAACCATTTAATCCCATCATCTTTCATTACATTTTCTGTAGAAAACAAAATCATCTCTACCTCTCTCCCAGCCTCTCATTCTTCCATCTCCATTATTACTACTATTGAAAGATGTATCAGAATCTTTTTCCTGGAGAAACTGAGCACAAAATTTTGCATTATTAACTAGTTTTATTTGGCATAATTTATTGGTCTAGCTTCCTGATTCATTTAATTAAAGACCACAATAGGCACATTGAAATCCTAGCAATGAACATACATTGAATAAATATTTATGAGGTGAAAGGGTTATAATAATAGAATGCCATAAAAGTGTTTCATTTTCATTCATCTATATATTACTTCATTTAGTTTTTACAAATATTTATGTATTCATTCATTCAAGAAAATTTATATTGACTGCTTACTATGTGTTAAGCAGTGCTCTAGGCATGACACATAAAACATTAAAGTTAAACAGACTTCTAGCCATCATGCTGTTTATATTCTAAGAAACACAAAAGGAAATTAGACATGTAAAACACATACGATGCAAATTCTGGTAATAAACAGGGAAAATAAACCTAGAATGAAAAACTTGTGGATGAAATTCCAACTAAACAGAAAGGCTAAAGCCAAAGATCTGAGGCAGGAACAATCTCAGCCTATTCAGGAATTATCTACTATTCTAGTAGTCATGCATATTTTTCACAAAGAAAGAAAGTGAGACTCATATAAATTGTATGACCTTGCTCAAGACCACACATTTTGTTGGTAAGACTCCTAGAACCAGAGCTAAGATTGGTAACTGGTAACTCATAGCTCATGCAATGAAGATGGTTCTTTCTAATAAAAAGGTTACCCAGTGAGGTTCTGTGAAGGAAAATGTGGCATTGACATAGTGGATAAATACAGATTAGGGATACACACTGTCTCTCAAATATCCCCTTAAGACAAAAGGCTTAATTTTATGCATTTTTGTATTCATATGCATTAGTGTTATGTCTACTAAAAAACAATTAATATAAATCAAGATTGCATTTAATTCTGAGATTTGGAGTTTGGCATCCTGTGTTCAAAGATATATCACTTAATAACAAAATACTCTTGGTTAAATCACATTGTTATCCTGAATATTTCCTTACTTTAAAAAATACAAAAACTTATACTTGCAATAAATAATAGTGTGCATATGAAAAGTTTTTATTAGATATCATATTCAGGGTATATATCATAGCTACTAAACTATTATATTTTCACAGATGACGTTTGCTGAGAGCATAGGAAAAACACCCATATTGTCAATGCTAAAGTATAATCCCAACTCGGCATGGTGAATATAGTCCCTAAGTAGCCAATATTTTAAAACACTTGGGGATAATGCAGGCTGTGCCTTTGAGAATCTTAAGGAATTCTCCTGTTAAATATATGTGGTAACATCAGGGTAAAGAATAACAGAAAAGACAATAAAAACCAAAAGCAGAAAATCTAGAAAATTCACAAGTTCCTACATACATACAACATACCAAGACTGAACAAGAAGAAATCCAAAACCTGGACAGACCAATAACATGTAATGTGCTTGAAGTCATAATAAAAAAAAGTCTTCCAGTAAAGACAAGCCCAGGACCTGATGACTTCAGTGTTGAATTCTATCAAACATTTAAGGAAGAACTAATACCAATCTACTCAAACTCTTCTGAAAAATAGAGGAGGACATACTTCTAAACTCATTTTATGAAGCCAGTATCTAATACCAAAACCAAAAACACATTTAAAAAGAAAACTACGGGCCATATCTATGATGAATATTGTTGCAAAAATCGTCAACAAAATACTAGCAAACCGAATTCAACAATACATTAGAAAGATCATTCACCATGACCCTGGGAGATTTATCCCTGGGATACAAGGATGATTCAACATATGCAAATCAATGAATGTGATACATCATATCAACAGAATGAAGGACAAAAATCATATGATCATTTCAATTGCTGCTGAAAAAGCATTCGATAAAATTTAATGTCCCTTCATGATAAGAAAGACATTCAAAAAACTGGGTATAGAAGAAACACAACTCAAGATAATAAAAGCCATATGTGACAGACCCACAACTAGCATCATACTGAATAGAGAAAAACTCAAATTCTTTCCTCTAAGATCTGGAACAGGACAAGGATGCCCACTTTCACTGCTGCTATTCAACACAATACTGGGAGTCACAGCATTCAGATCAGAGAAGGAAATAAAGGGCAATCAAACTGGAATGGAAGAAGTCAAATTATCCTTGTTTGCAGCTGATATAATCTTATATTTAGAAAAGCCCAAAGACTCCACAAAAAAACTGTTAGAGCTGATAAACAAATTCAGTAAAGTTGCAGGATACAAAATCAACATACAAAAGTCAGTAGCAATTCTATATGCCCATAGTAAACAATATGAAAAAGACATTTAAAGGGCAATCCTATTTAGAATAGCCACACATAAAATTAAATACCTAGGAATTCACTTAGCCAAAAAAGAGAAAGAGCTCTACAGTGAAAACTATAAAATACTGATGAAATAAATTGAAGAGGACACACAAAAAAATGGAAAGATATTTCATATTGATAGATTGGAAAAACCAATATTGTTAAAATGTCCATACTACCCATAGCAGTCTACAGATTCAAAGCAATCCCTATTAATATACCAATGACATTCTTCACAGAAATACAAAGAAACAGTCCTTAAACTTACATGCAACTACAAAAACCCAGAACAGCCAAAGTCATGCTAAGCAAAAGGAACAAAACTGGAGAAATCACAATACCTGACTTTAAATTATTAAACAGAACTATTGTAACAAAAACAGTATGGTACTGGCATAAAAACAGACACATTAACTAATGGAACAGAATAGAGAACACAGAAACAAATAAACACACCTACAGTGAAATCATTTTTGACAAAGGTGCCAAGAACATATACTGTGGAGAAGACAGTCTCTTCAATAAATGGTGCTAGGAAAACTGGATATCCATATGCTGAAGAATAAATCTAGACCCCTAACTCTCTCTATATATAAAAATCAAATCAAAATGGATTAAAGACTTAAATCTAGGACCTCAAGCTATGAAACTACTACAAGAAAATATTAGAGAAAATCTCTAGGACATTGGTTGGGGCAAAACTTCCTTGAGCAATACCCCACAAGCATAGGCAACCAAAACAAAATGGACAAATGGGATTACATCAAGTTAAAAAGCTTCTGCACAACAAAGGATATGATCACAAAGTGAAGATACAACAACACAGAATGGGAAAAAAATATTTGCATACTATTCCTCTGACAAAGGATTAATATCCAGGATATATATGGAGTTCAGACAACTGTATAGGAAAAAAAAATCTAATAATCTAATTAAAAATGGGAAAACTTGCCAGGCACGGTGGCTCACACCTGTAATCCCAGCACTTTGGGAGGCTGAGGCGGGTGGATCACGAGGTCAGGAGTTCGAGACCAGCCTGGCCAACATGGTGAAACCTCATTTGTGCTAAAAATACAAAAATAAGCCAGGTATGGTGGCACGCACCTGTAATCCCAGCTACTTGGGAGGCTGAGGCAGGAGAATTGCTTGAATTGGGGAGGCAGAGGTTGCAGTGAGCCGAGATCGCACCATTGCACTCCAGCCTGGGTGGCAAGGCGAGACTCTGTCTCAAAAAAAAAAAAAAAAAAAGGCACAATTTTAAATATAAATTTCTCTAAAGAGGACATACAGGCAAACAGGCATATGAAAAGGTGCTCAACATCATTGATCATCAGAGAAATGCAAGTCAAAACTACAATGAGATATCATCTCACCCCAGCTAAAATGACTTTTATCTAAAATACAGGCAATAACAATTGCTAGCAAGGATGTGGAGAAAAAACCCTTGTACACTGTTAGTGGGATTGTAAATTAGTACAACCAGTATGAAGCACAGTTTGGAGGTTTCTCAAAAAAAACAACCATAGAGATAGCGTATGAGCCAGCAAAATCATTATATTTAAGAGATATCCATACACTCATGTTTGTTGGAGCACTGTTAATAGACAAGATTTGGAAGCAACCTAAGGGTCCCTCAACAGATGAATGGATAAAGAAAATATGGTACATATACACAACATAGTACTATTTAGCCATAAAAACAGAATGAGATTCTGTCATTTGCAACAACATGGTTGGAACTAGAGATCATTATGCTAAGTGAAATAAGCCAGGCACAGAAAGGCAAACACTGTGTGTTCTCAATTATTCCTGGTACCTGACAATCAGAACATTTGAATTCCTGGACATAGAGCGTAGAATGATGGTTACCAAAGGCTGGGAAGGGTAGTTGCAGGGCTGGGGCAAAGGAGGTGCAGACAGTTAATGGGTGCAAAAATAATAGAAACATTGAATAATACCTTTTTTTTTTAGAAAGATGCCAGCTCTTTACTACCAGGGAAGCGGGCGTGCACACGCGTGGACCGCGCTCCTCGGAGTAGACCAGGCCCTTGCCTTCTCCCGTTTGTCAGAGGTGAGTCCTGGTACCTGACACAGGAAGTTGGTGGCCTCTGGGGAGGCTCTGATAGTTTGGCCTCTGCTGCTTCCCGGCTCAGGGCTTGCTCCTCTCAAGGAACCTGCGGGACACCATGTGCCTAGAGAGCCCCTGAGGAGGGGGAGCGCTGACCCAGCCTCCTCATGGCACGCTGCCCTCCAGCGCTCCGCACTTCACCTGCTTCCTGGCTTGCCGTGGTCAGGGTCAGTATTTACTCCACTGATTGGCACATTCAGGTTCTGAAGGAATGCAAACTGCGTGGGTGCTCTGGCGACATTGTTTGCACTGTTTATACAACCAGACAGCGTTTTAGACTAAATTCGTGTCCAAACTAACACGCACGGGAACAGGCTCCAGCTGCAGCTCCTGGGTCCATCAGGCCAGGGAGCGGCTCTACCGGAAGATCCGGTAAGTCCTGAGCAGGCGCCCGTCCTTGCTCCACAGGGCGGTCTGGATGTGCTTGTAAGCGGGCAGGTCGGTCGATTTGCCCAGGGCGGCCACTACCGGCTTCCCCTGGAGTATCTTAGAAGCAACTCTCTTCACGTCTTCCGGCTTCTCGTTGCGGATGAACGTGCACAGCTCCTGCGGCAGCTTTCTGGAGCGAGTGGCCAGCACCTGCCTCCCCACATCCTCGAAGATCACAGGCCTGGACTCCAGGTTCATCATGAGCATGGACGTCAGCTGCGTCTTGGCTCGTTCCAGCTCCACCGCGTCCACGGTTCCGCCCATTAAAATAAACTCCTTTGTGGTGATTTCTACCATTTCTGGAACCTGCCTCGGGTCGGCGCTGGCAAGGATGCACAGGAGGCCAGTGTCCTCGTAGCTGAGGTAGTAGGAGGTCGCGTTATATATCCAGTGGTGCCTGCTGAGCACATCGAGGTAGAGCCTGGAGAATATGCCCTTGCTGGGCCTGCCAGCCGAGAAGGAGCCGCCTCCGCCCATCATCATGTTCAACAAAGCGAAGGGGATGAAGTCCTCCTCCAGGAAGGAGCAGCTCTCCAGTCTGATCCCCCATCGGGGATGGGGGTCGGGCCCAGGCTGACGTCTCTTTCTAGCTTGGCAATCCCCCCAGTGTACTGGGCCACTGTCAACATCCACAGCCTCCGCGCTCCCTCAAGCCGCCTGGACCCCCAGGAGGTACTTCCGGGCACATTCCACCAGGTGCTGGTCCTCCACACTCACGCCAGCCAGTACCACGCGGTCGGGGGTGTAGTAATTCCGCAGGTAGGAATGCAGCACTTCCCGATTGATCTTTGCTATGTTTTCTGTGGGACAGAAACGGTGGAGGCCAACTGTGGTGCCTGTTGAGCACGTTGAGGTAGAGCCTGTAAGCCGCTTCATGAATCATCTCGGTGAGGAGTGGCTCTGGGTCAGGCTGCATGTTCGGGTCCTCCAGCTCAAACTGGACCGCCATCTGCATCATCTCGACTTCTTCATCTGTTAGCTGGGGCTGCAGAACCGCATCAGCCAGTAAGCCGAACACCGTGTCCAAGCCTTTACTATCAGCAGACACAGCATACGTGGTGGTGTCACTTGATGTCTGGCAGTCACAAATACCTCCATGCTTTTCCAACGTAAGCAGTATTTCATCTTTGCTGTTAAATCGAGCATTAGAAGAAAATGCCAATTTTTCCAAAAAGTGAGCAATTCCACTAAGGTATGTTGCTTCATATCTTGATCCTGAATTAATAAGAATTCCTACTATACAAAACTGTCCAAACTTATTTTGAGAGGCCACGCGAAACCCGTTATCCAATGTGGTTTGAAACTTTGGATTCAAACTTTTCCTGTCCATCAACTGTAGCAAAAACATGCTTGGGTACTCCAGGTAAGGCAGAAGAGAGGGGGATGTTGGGATAGGTGCCACCACTACTAAACTGTCTGTACGCAGGAGGTCCAAACCTCAGCCGCTAGCGGCCCCGAGAACCTGAGCCCCTCAGCGACCGCGTAGCCGCCAGCACCGTAGCCGCCATCTTGAGTCTCCGCCCATTGCTTCTGTCCGAGACCTACTTTTTGATAGCAAAACAGAGTTACTACAGTCAATAATAACTTAATTGTACATTTTAAAATAACTAAAAGGGTATGATAGGATTGTTTGTAACACAAAGGATAAATGTTTGAGGGGATGGATGCCCCATTCTCCATGATGTGGTTATTACGCATTGCACGTCTGTATTCAAATGTCCCATGTACCCCATAAATATATATGCACTTACTATGTACCACAAAAGTTAAAAATTTAAAAAAGCCTAAAATTATAAAATAAAAAATACTGTAAGTAAACAACGATTATAAAGATCTCAGGCTACAGAAACCCAGATTTATCTTTAAAATGTTGTTTTAATAAACCACCCGCTGCATGCTTCGGTTATCCTGGATAAAAATATCAGAGTAGTCTTAGGCACATAAAGAAGGTAATATGAGCCTATTGGTGACTGTTAATTTAAAACAATGATTGCAGTATCATATAACCATAGAACCTGATGATTTTAAAAATACTATTGCAGAAATTCAATAGTAAACTATGAAACCAAATCCACAGCTATTTTTTTTTTTAACAGATAAAAGCTGTATGACTTGGGTGGAGTAGCCTATAGAAATTAGCTTGGCTGAAGCACTACAGTGAGAATCTATGTTTGGCTGAGAATAACCTTGGATTATATCCTATGTGCAAGCTAACTTGTTTAGTCATGGATGCTGGCAAAAGATACGAGGCTTGGGTCAGAAACAAAGGAACTTCTTACTCTCATGACATAGCAAGCAGTTTAAGCTTTGTACTTACTTTGGATTGCTCTGTTTATCTCCAAGCACCACTAACATAATTAGAATGGCCCAATGCAGGGAATTTGTGTTATACAGTCAACGAACCCTGAATCTGAGAAACCTCAACTTTGCCCGAGAGAGAGACATTGTCCTTACTATTCTCAACAACAGACAAACCTGCCTCTCCTCCAAATGGAAATACAATCTTTATTATGTTTCAAGGCTGTTTGCTATACAAATATCTTTGAAAAGATAGTCTGGAACGAAAGCTGTCAATGCTTCTGCTCAGAAAACATATGGAAACCCAACATTCATAAAGAGTTGTCTCCAACAGGTAAGCTAAGAAAAATTCATGCAGGTCCTTCAGGGGTTTTGAAGGTTGGGCCTAATTAATGATCTATAACAATTTAAGATTTTAAGCTGATTTTATTTGACATAAAAAGGGGGAAGAATGTTTTGTTTTAGCATTATGCTAACAGAAAGACCAGTTATAAAATAAAGAATGGGAAATGTTAGGGTCTGTACTTAAATGTTATCAGTAAGAAAGAGTTTATTGGAAAATTCAATGGAAATTGTGCAGTATTTCTAATGGGAACTAATAACACTATAGGAAATAAAAGATAAGGAATATTTTTAAGTGACATCATCCCTACATATAAAATTTAATATATGAAAAGGGTGCATCTTAAATTAATTAACAAAAAAGTATATTTACCAGGTGTGTCCAATCTTTTGGCTTCCCTGGGCCACACTGGAAGAAGAAGAATTGTCTTGGGCCACACATAAAATACACTAATAGTAGCTGATGAGCTAAAAAAAAAATCACACAAAAATCTCGTAATGTTTTAAGAAAGTTTATGAATTTGTGTTGGGCCGCATTCAAAACTGTCCTGGGCCACATGCAGCCTACAGGCTGTGGTTAGATAAGCTTGTTTTAAAAGATATTAGAGCAATTGGTTAGTTATTTGGGGAAAAAATAACTTAGACTTTCACCCTTTAACACTTTCCAACCACATGTAGATAATTTTAAAAATTATTGAGTTTTTAAATTTAAAAATTTATAAAATGGATGTATTAGAAGAAAATATTGTGTGTGTATGGATGTGTGTAGAGGAAATTAACGTGAAGACATTATAGCTATTTCTCCATAATATTATAGATAAATAACCAAGCCATAAAAACAAATATTTGTGTCATTGTGAGAAAAACCTTCCTAAATACACAAACAAATATGGAATTCATAAAGGCAAGTAACTTATAACACTTGCTTTTATTTACACTGTCACTTTTACACTAGTTTTCATCTCACTCTAATTGAGATACATTTTCAACACCACAAAATATTATTAGTTTTATTTTATGCAGTGAAAAATAATTTGTATTTACTCATAGATTTATCTTTTCCAGGACTCTCCATCCTTTCCTGAATTTTCTTACTTCTGTCTTTGATTATTTAGCTTTTGATATGAAACCGACAATTCCACATTTTATTAGTCTCAAGTTTCCATGTATCAGCTTGGTTGTGACCTGGCTCAACTGATAGCTAGGTTCTGTCATGCTTTTGTGGTCAGTTGGCAGTCCAACTGATTGCAGCATGATCTAGAATGGCCCGCCACATGTATGAGATAGTTGACAAGCCATTGGTCTAGGATGTGTCTGAGTTGGGAAGACACAGCTGTAAGACTTTAGGAGTATTTCATCTTCCACTATGTTAGCCCACTATTTTTCACATAGTGGTTTCAGAGTTCTAAAGAATGATAAGAAAGCAGTTCCCATAAGCTTTTCCATAATTTCCAAAAGGCGTAATCTCTTTTCAAGCTTCTGGTTATGTCCTGTTTGCCAATTTCCATTGTCTAAAGCAGTATGCCTGTGTATTAGTTTGCTAGATTTGGTATAACAAAGTACCACAGTCTGAGTGGCTTAAACAACAGAAATACATTTTCTCAATGTTCTACATACTAGATGTCCAAAATCAAGTTGTCAGTAGGGTGGATTTTTTCTGAGGGCTGTGAAAGAAGAAGGTTTCAGGTCCCTCTCCATCGATTGTACATGACCATCTTTCCAGAATGTCTCATCACATAGTCTTCCCACTATACATTTCTATCTGTGCCCAAATTTCCCCTTTTTATAAGAACAACAGTCATATTGGATTAGGACCTAATGACCTCCCTTTAACTTGATACATATATAAAACTCTATCTCCAAATAAAGTCACATTCTGAAGTACTTGGTGGTTAGAACTTCAACGTATGAATTTTGGGGGTGCACAATGCAATCAATAACAACCTAGGAAACGGGTTCAATTGATGGTTTCATAGACTCCAAATCCTGATGGGAGGATCAGGGACAACAAGGAGCTAGGTGGAGGGGGGGTAAAAAAAATGGCCACTTTTATAATCCACAACAATCCAAAATCATCTTCTTTCCTGAAAAATTATTTAATATCTCTTCTGGTGGCATGTCATTAATAACAAAATCCTTCTTTTTTATTCCTGAAAATGTATTTCACCTAATTTTTGTCACCACGGCTGGAGTGCAGTGGTGCGATCTTGGTTCACTACAACTCTGCCTTCTAGGTTCCAGCGATTCTCCAGCCTCAGCCCCCCGAGTAGCTGAGACTACAGGCGCGCTCCACTGTGTCTAACTAATTTTTGTATTTTTAGTAAGGATGGTGTTTCACCATGTTGGCCAGGCTGGACTGGAACTCCTGACCTCAGGTGATCTGCCCACCTCAGCCTCCCAAAGTGCTGGAATTACAGGCGTGAGCCACCATGACCAGCCTGAAATATATTTTAAGTGAATATAGAATTATAGTTTGCCAGTTATTTCAGCACTGTAAGGGTGTCTGTCATTGTGCTCTCTGGCTTCCCTGGCTTATGATGAAAAGTTGGCCATTACCTTTATTATTATTCCTTGAAGGTAATGAGTCGTTTATCTATAGTTGATTTTATAATTTTTCTTTGGCATCAGTTTTTCATAAGTTTACTTTTGGAAAATGCATAGACTATGAAAAGATCATCATGAATAAGTTCTAGCTCAACTTCTTGTTGTGTGGGGTCTGGCATTATTCTAATTTCTCTTATCTTCAGGGCAAAACCAAAATTGAATCTCAAACTGAAAGTTTGGGGTGTTTACAAGTGCCTCTACTATTTGGTAATCCCTGAGTTCCAGTTTTTGTCTTTCCAGCCAAATGAGTCTTTTGCTCTCTTTACTTAACATTTTATCCTCTAATTAACTGTGTTTTGCTTATATTCACAATAACTTGCCCTGGGCATATGCAGTTCAAGAATCAGTAAATGCCTCAAAAGGAAATTGCAGGAAGACTATCAGGCTCACTTCTCTATACAGTATTTTTCTTTCCTCCAAGATTTTGACTCCTCAAATCATGGTTGCTTTGGCAGCCTTGAGCTCCAATTTTTGTCTACAAAGCCCACAGAGACTGCCACAGGCTCTAGAATGTTGTTTTCTGTTTGACGTTTATGTCCAGTGTAGTGAATGAGCAAATGCACCCAGAAGAAATGTAATCTCACCTCAATGTGTTTCTTCTCTGCAGAAACTGTGCCCATCAAGACCTGGCTGCCTTGATTGCTTTATAATATATAATATATATATATGTATATATATATGTATATTTATATATTATATAGTTATATAATATATAAATATGTATGTATATTATATATACGTATAATATAAATTCTACATAATTTATATAAAATTATATAAATATATAATATATAAATAAACAAAAATATAATATAAAAAATATATAATTTTTTTTTGGTGGAGTCTCTGGCTCTGTCGCCCAGGCAGGAATGCAGTGGCACAGCATGATCTCGGCTCACTGCAACCTCCACCTCCCGGGTTCAAGGGATTCTCCTGCCTCAGCCTCCTGAGAAGCTGGGATTACAGGCGCCTGCCGCCACACCCGGCTAATTTTGTATTTTTAGTAGAGATAGAGTTTCTCCATGTTGGTCAGGCTGGTCTTGAACTCATGACCTCAGGTGATCTGCCTGCCTTGGCCTCCCAAAGTGCTGGGATTACAGGCATGAGCCACCATGCCCGGCTTGCAAACAGGTTTTTAAAACATTTTTTTAGTCTTATTTTTACAGCTCCTGTTAGTAGGATGGTTAGTCTGATATATTCAGTCATAGAAGCAGAAATACCCATAACAAAATTTAAAGGCCAAACAACATTTGGCCTTTAGAGAGAGTGTGGCCTTTAGATAGTGTGTGTGGACACACACACACTCTCCCTACATGAGTTAATTATGAAACATATGATATCATGGAATAGAATTTAAGGCAAATTTGCTCATATTTAGATGGATACTTGGGACTTTTATGGAACTTAATTGCTAAATGTGAAGTGTAGAACTGAGAATGTCATGTCAAAGTCATCTATTAGAGGAGTTGTGTACTCTACTTTTTAAAAATATTTGTTATTCCTCCATGTGAATTTGCTTCATTCTTCCACTTTTTAATGCAAGCCATCTGTCTTTGTTTGTGTTTCTATAAAGTAATACATGAGACTGGCTGATGTATGAAAAAAGAAAAAAAGCTTCATTTGGCTTATTGTTCTTCCAGCTGGAAAGTTCTTCCAGCTGGGCACTGGTGAGGGCCTCAGCTCCTTCCACTCATGGTGGCAGAAGTCAAAGGGAAGCCAGCATATGCAGGTATCACATGGTGAGAGAGGAACAAGAGGTAGAGGAGGGAGGTGCCAGGATCTTTTTAACAACCAGCTTTCAGGAGAACTAACAGAGCAAGAACTCACTCACTACAGAAGGATAACAAGAACTAATTGAGCAAGAACTTGCTCATTACCAAGAGGATGGCACGAAGACATTCATGAGGGATATGTCCCTATGACCCAAACACCTTGCATTAGGACATACCTTCAACATTAGGGCTCAAACTTCAACATGAGGTTTGGTAGGACAAACATCCAAACTATAGCACCATCTAATTTCTGATTACTTATACATTTACTTGGCCAAAATTTGGAGGCAGATTTCAAGTCCATTGACCTTATATCTACAATACCTATCTCCAGCTAATTGAATTGAGATTTGTATTCATTTTTAAATAATGTTAATTTTTAATGTTGACAAGATGAACCAAGAAAGCTTGCTTACACTCCTAATTTAATTAGCATCCATATTCTCTTCATTGCTCTCTTGTTTCAATGGATGGATTGTGTCTGCTCCTGCCTGATCGCCAGTTCCTCCATCCCTTCTCAAGTACTTAACTACAGTACTTCAACAGTTTTCTTTTTTTCTGCTTCATCAATTTTCCGTCTCAATTGAATCATTTAAATGGAATATTTAACCTTATTTATGTGGTTAATAATTAATAATAACCTTATTATTTTCTCATCTCAAATAATAAGTAATACACAAATTTAAGAAACTTCAAACATCTCTTTTCTATTTCTCTCTCTAGATACTGCCTCCATTTATCTTGCAGCCTTTACTGCAATACTTCTGAAAGTATTGTCTATACATACATTCTCTCATTTTCTCTAGAATCTACCTCATTTAGAATTTGCCCTGTCTGATTCACTGAAACTGCCCATGTCAAGGTCACCAATGATAGTCTCCAATTATTAATAAATGTGGTGGTCATTTAATTTAATCTATCAGCTGAACTTGATCATTCCTATTTGGAACCCTTTTTCACTTGCTTCCAAGACATTTCATTCACTAGTATCTCTCCTATGATAATCCTGGCCTTTTTTTCTTAGTCTTTTTGCTTCTTCTTTCTCAACTCCCAACCCTGAAATATTGGTGTACACTGGAGCTAATCACTGGAATATTTTTATCTTCACTCTCACCATATGTGATCCCCAATCTCATAGCTTCAGATTTGTATCCTGAAGATCTCTACCTTCTTCCTCTCCCTAATTCCCAGACTCACATATCCAACTGCCAACTGACATTTCTACTGAAACATCTAATAAGCATCTCAAATTTAACACATCCAAAAACCTGCTTTTTACTTCTCCTCCAAAATGTTCTCTGTAGTTTTCCGTAATTCCCTACATGAGTTAATAATTCTATTCTTGCACTTTATCAGGCCAAAACCTTGGTGTTATTTATATTTCACTATCTGCCACCATATCCAATCAAAAATAAAATCTTATTACATCTATTTTAGAAATATATTCAAAATTTGACTAGTCATTGCTACTCATGCTATCAATAATCTGGTCCAAACCACTACCATGTGTCTAAAGTACTGCAATAGTCTCCTAAATAGTATCCCTATTATACCCTTGTAGTTCTCCAGTACATTCTCAGCAGAAAAACTGGGTGAGCTTATTAAAATGTATGTCATATCATGTCATAATTGTATTTATCAACTTGGCTAGATTAAGGGATTCCTAGATAGCTAGCAAAACATTATTTCTGGATATTTCTGTGATGGAGTTTCTAGAAGAGATTAGCATTTGAATCAGTAGACTGAGCAAGAAAGATAGATCCTAACCAATGTATGTGGGCAAAATCCACTCTGTTGAGGGCCTGAATGGAACAAAAAAACTAAGAAAGGGTGAACTCTCTCTCATTTTTTGAGCTATGAAATCCATCTTCTCTTGCCCTTGGGCCTCGAGACTCAGGACTTACATCAGCATCCCCCACCTCTACCTCTCTTCAACCTCAGACTGGGAGTCACACCAGCTCCCCTGTTTGCTGTTACATAGGCCTTTGGACTTTAACTGAATTATACTACCAACTTTCTTACTTTATCAGCTTACAGACAGCATATTATGGGACTTCTCTGCCTTCATAATCATGAAAGCTAATTCTCTTAATAAGTCTCCTCTTTAGATAGATAGATAGATAGATAGATAGATAGATAGTTACATAGATACATAGATACATGGATACATAGATGAAAAAAGAAAGAAAAAGGAAAGAAAAGAAAGAAAGAAAGAAAGAAAGAAAGAAAGAAAGAAAAAAAAGAAATAAAGAAAGGTTCTATTGGAGACTTTTGACTATTTTGCATAGAATTAGATTAAAGCCCGTCTTTACTACGTTTTGTATCGTCTTGCTCCAAAAATATCTCTTCAACCTCATCAGCAACTATTCTTCCACTTACTTGGTGTACTATAGTAGCAGTGCCTTTTTTGTTGTCTCTTGATTACATAACAAATATATTAACCTTAGGACCTTTACACTTCTGTTCCTTCTGCCTAGAAATGCTCTTATCCAAATATCTGCATACTGGCTTCCTTATTATCTTAATATATTTATTGACATCTTGTCAGTGAGACTCTCTCTACACTCTGTAAAACTTCAGCACCCTTGACAACTTTCTCAGGCCAGAACCTTGGTGTTATTTATATTTCACTATCTGCCACCATATCCAATCAAAAATAAAATCTTATTACATCTATTTTAGAAATATATTCAAAATTTGACTAGTTATTGCTACTCATGCTATCAATAATCTGGTCCAAACCACTACCATGTGTCTAAAGTACTGCAATAGTCTCTTAAGTGGTATCCCTATTATACCCTTGCAGTTCTCCAGTACATTCTCAGCAGAAAAACTGGGGTGAGTTTATTAAAATTTCTTTCTTTCATCTATGTATCTATGCATCTAGGTGTCTATCTATCTAAGAGGTATTGCTCTTTCTATTGATTTATTATTTCTATGACTATTAACTACAAAAACTTATATTCTCACGGTTGCGGGAAGTCTGCCATCAGGGTTCCAGCATGGATGTGTGGTTCGGTTCTGGTGTAGGTTTCTTCCTGGCTTACAGATAGTCCCTTTTTTGCTGTATGCTCACATGGCCATTTCTTGGTTGATGCCTGTAGAAAGTGAGAAAGAGCTTTCCCTCTTCCCTTCTTATAAGGCTGTAAGTCCTAAAGGAGTGGGATCTGATCCTTATGACCTCCTTAAACTTTGATTATCTCTTCAAAGTTCTTTCTTAAAATATAATAATATTGGAAGTTTGGGCTTTGACATATGAATTCAGTATACACTTCAGTTCATAATGATGATATAAAGTGTATGTATAAATAAATCTATTTATCTTGATGATTTTTGCTTTCTTTCTATAATGTAAGCTCCATGAAGTCTTAGGTGTTTGTTTGTTTAATTCACTGCTGCATTCTCATGACTAAAAATTGGTCTGGCACATGGAGTTCAAACGTATGTATGCAAATGTGAACCGATACCAAATTATCAGAGCACAGTTTGGCAATATACATTCAAATCACAAAAAAAAAACTATATTCTCTATTGGTAATTTCAGTATTAGGTACTGATACTAAGGAAGTAAGCATTTGCTTAGATTCAGCACTTTTTCTGAGAACCAAGATTGAAAATAACCTAGTAAGCCACATGTAATGGATTAGTTCAATATATTCTAATGTTATATAGTAGGATATTATGTATCACTTAAAAAGATTATGCTGAAGTATGTTTAACATTTTGGAATTATTATATATTATTATATA
Source organism: Homo sapiens (assembly GCF_000001405.40). Taxonomy (NCBI): domain Eukaryota; kingdom Metazoa; phylum Chordata; class Mammalia; order Primates; family Hominidae; genus Homo; species Homo sapiens. Next base: position 92,193,309 of record NC_000004.12, read on the forward strand.
ATGTATATATAAAGAAATATATACTTCAAACATTATTCCATGATATTAAATACTTCAGTATAATCTTTTTGTATTATGAGTATTTGGGAAAGTATCTTATAAAAGTTTTAAAATACCTGCTTTGTTATTTTTATATTAAAATAATAGAGAAATACTTAAATCTGTAGACAGTGGTTTCTTAGGTTTGCTATTAATTGCAAAATATAATTGGGGAAGGGTTATTTATATTTTCCAAATTGTTCACAAAAATATGTTGATTGTATAATCATAACGTATATTAAATAATTTGATATAAGAATCACACTATAAATTATTACAAAGAAATAATGAGAAATTATTAACCTTTGCATTTGGAATGACTTCTATAAAAATGAAAGGCAATATACTTTATAGGTAAAAGTTAAAAAATTACTTTTATGAAAAAGAAAAATCTGAGAACATTGTCACAGAAAACAAATCTTGGTCTCAGATCAACTATTATGTTGGTCTGTTTTTTTTTTTTAAAGTTATTGAATGCCCTTCCTTTGAGAGAAGATGCTAAAATACTGCTGCACACAAAAATATTATATAAAACGTAGACAAAAAGGAACTTAAAAAAGATTGTACTGTGGGATGCTTGAAGTTTATACAAACATTCAAATGTACAGATTTTATAGTTTGGAAATTTAGACAGAAACAGACTGCCAACATTCTAGGTCATCCTGACCCAAACTCTTCCTAGAATCGATTTATACAGATATTCCATTCTATTTCTTATCTATGCTTGAACCGAATACCAAATCACCTGAAAAAAATACTGTGACAACATAAAAGATGTCAGTAAATGAAATAGATTCACATGCTTGGAGGAAAAGAGTACTGTAAAGATGCCAATTCTTTCAAAATTAATACATAAATTCAATAAAAATCCATCCTAAATCTCTTTTTGATTTGTTTGCTTTTTTGTGGTTGTGGTTGTTTTATAACTTGACATACTGATTCTAAATTTCATCTTGGAGATTAAATGTATGAAATAGCTAAGGAAATAATGAGAAAAAAAGAAGTATGGAGAGAGGTTTTCATCATAAATCTTTATTAATGGAAAGTGTGGGGCTGATGAAGGAATAGTCAAATAGATCAATGGAAAGCATGGAGAATATGTGTATATGATAATTTACTATGTAATAAAGGTGGCACTTCAAATCAATGAGGAAAGATTTGATTATTCATGAAATGACTACGTGTTTGGAAACAGAAAAAGTTTATTTCCTATATAATGTTAAATACAAAAATAAATTTCTGCAAGATTATATATGGAAATAAACTATAAATTATGAAGCCAAATATAATAGAATATTTTTCTAATTTTGAGATAAGAAAACATATTTAAACATTTCATAAAATCTAAGTAAAATTAAATATACAAGTAAGACCAGATAATATTTTTTAAAGTTTATGTAGTGAGGTATTTCATGAACAAACTAAATAGAAAAAGAATTTATTATGTGAACTGTTTTAAAGCAACTTTTAGCTGTTAATACGTCAGCACTAATTGCAATTATACAACAGTTTTGGAGAGATATTTGCTAGAATATATAAAGAGGCTTGAAAATTGTGACAGCCTTTATGTTAGATGCTGTGGTGTGCCAGACCATCAGGAAAGAACTTATTCCTCCACTTTTTCTTGGGAATGTCGGCAGCAGAAAACCCTCTTTGGGAACAGCTATGCTGTGTAAATCCTTCTTACCTGAAGTCTTGCTCCCTTCCCTTAACCACCTCACAACCGGTAACTAGTAAATGCATTGGTAAAAAGATTTAGCCCTTCTACCTCAACTCAGGATAAGTCTGAAGGAGTATTTCAGCTTACAGTTTCACATGAAGTTCTCTGAGATCACTTTGATCATGCATCAAAGCCCAAATTCTCCCTCTACCCAATTCAGCGCTCTTCCCTGCCACCTTCCTTGAAGAAATCCATCCATCTCAAAGTTAAATATCTGGGAAATTGACCTACAAGTAGAAAATGAACCCAGATACAGGGAAAAATATACAGGGTCATCGAGGGATTGTTTACAATAAGAAAAAGCTTGAAAACACCTAAATATTCATATATTCACATATGAATATTTGAATATAATATACACATATATAATATGTATATATACACATATGCATATGACATTGTAATATAATGCAGCAATTAGATTTACTTGCAAATAATGTGTGATAGCATCAGAAATTTTACTGTTACAATGTTAAATGAAAAAAAAGTAACTTTTAGACCAGTGAAACTACTCTGTATCTTGCTATAATGGAATGTACATATTATTATCTATGTCCAAGCCCACAGAGTGTACAACATCAAGAATGAACCCTAATGTAATCTATGGACTCTGAGTGATGAGGATGTGTCAATGTATATTCATCAATTATTTAAAAAAAATGTACCACTCTGGTGGAGAATGTTGATAATAGGGGAGTATATATCTGAGGAGGTATTTGGGATATCTTTGTACCTTCTGCAAAATTTTGCTATGTATCTAAAACTGCTCTAGAAAATAGTCTAAATAAACTAATTAATTAACTACATTTTTAAAGTTAAGTAACAAAACAATTTATGTAATGTGATTCCTATTATGTAAACACATGCATAGAAATGAAGAGAAGAAATAAATATACAGTGAGTAATTCTTTTTCTCCCTATGCTTCTAAATTTTCTGTTTCCCTAAATGTCATATATAAATTAGAAAAATAATTTATATTTTTTAATAAATCTGTTAAAATGGTGATCCAGAAAGATAATTATTACCTTCAATTTATACAGTTTATAACTGCAAATTTGAGACTTATTAAAGCAAATCATGTCCCATTCACATAATACTATCAGCAGCAGATTTGAGAGTCAAACTTAAGTGTTTCAAGTGCAGTAGTCTTTCGCTTGATCTTCATACACTGTAAAAGAATCATAGTATATGCTAATCTATTTTATAGATATATATGTGTATATATATATATATATATACACACACACACACACATACACACACTCGGAATGGCTTAGTCAACATAAACATGGCCTGAGTTATATAAAATATTGTTATGATTAAAAAGTTAAAAACCTTACATTGAGTTAAAGATTTTTCTTAGATTCATGATCTTTTAGCAGAAGAACATGTATATCTTGTATTTAATATAGAATACCTTTTGCAGAGGACTCCCATATACCAGGCTCTGAAAGATACTCACTTAAAAAAGTAAATTCTAACACTGAGAAATTTAACTCTTTATCTTTTTATTTTAAAATCATGTTGGAGTTAAAGAAGTGTTTCAAAGACAGTAAAGAGACTTCCCTTATTCCTTTCTCCAAGTTCCCCATATGTTACATAATCATCTTACATCAATCAAAGCTAAGAAATTAATGCTGATACAATATTATTAACAAAACTATAGGCTTATTCAGATTCCACCAGTTCTTCCACTGACATCTTTTTATCTGTCCAAGGATCTAATCTAGAGTCCTACATTGCATTTCTTTGTCTTGTCTTCTTACTCTTTTCTAATATGTTACAGTTCCTAAGTCTGTCTTTGTTTTTTTATGACCTTGGCATTTTTGAAAAACTCTGGTTAATGGTTTTATAGAAAGTGCATCAGTTTGGTTTTTTCTAATGTCTTCTCTAGTTAGATTGAAGTTATGGATTTGAGCAAAGAACACCACAATGGTGAGGTGCCCCTTAGTGCTTTATGTAAGGTGTGTGTGACTGTAAGTCTTAATACTGATAATATTAACTTTGATCACTTGGTGAAAATGGTATCTTCCAGGTGTCTCTCTAGTAAAGTTACACTTTTATACTTTGTAAATAATATTTATTTGGGGAGATATTTTGAGACTATGCACATATACTGTTTTAATTAAACACATCCTCTTCTTAATTTGCACAATAATCTCTATTTTATGCTTACAGTAATTATTACAGTGTTCTAACAATGATATTCTATTTCTTTCTTTCTTCAAAATTGATTAATTAAAACTCTTCTGTAAGAAGGAATTGTCCCTTCTCTTTATTATTTCTTTATATCAGTTTGGCATATGAGTATTTATTTTATTTTATGAGCAATTATTTTATTATGCTACAATTCAACATTATCATTTTTTTTGCTGATCAAATTGTTCCAGCTTTGGAGATTGGGACCTCTTTCAGGTTAATTCTTAGGTCTTTCAAAAGGCCCCACTCTTTTTAATTGAAACTTCCTTCTAGGAACATAAAATGACCCACATTTAATTTATATTTTTCTTGCATATCCCTAGAATCAATCACATCTTTAAAGAGTCCTGGTTCCTTGTACAGGAGAATACTATTTAAAAATAAAGATATGTTGGGAGGCATCAAGTTTGTTCACTGCTACTAGGGTACACTGCCTATAGGCTGCTCAGAAGACAAAGCTAGAAAACTTATATATGTATATATACTAACCCATGTTTACACCCACCTATATCCATCTCTCTCTCTGTGTGTATCTACATGTGTATATATATTTTATACAGATATCTTTGACTCCGCTCCAGGAGCACAGGGTTTTTTTCCATTCTCTCTTTGCTTAATTATGACATCTATCTTTAACAATTCTCTTTATCTATATTTGCCCATTTATTCAGTCCAAGTATAGCTATAAAATAGTTTCAGAATCTGACCGGTTTCCTTGTGAGAAGTAGCCATTTTAATCAGAGTACAGAGTTTGTGTACAGTTATTTTGTTTTTAGCTTCACAATATCCAGTCAAAACACTGTTTTCTAAAGTTACTTCGGTAAGAGCTTTTCTTCTCCACTCCCTATATTTAGAGATGTCATTGATGTGTAATAAGGTTGAATTCATTTGTCACAGTCTATGGTCCTTCTTGTTTCCTATATATTCTGGTGAAATTTTTATTTGCATACAGTAAAATTGTCTCTTTTTTTGTACAGTTCTATGGGCTTTGGCAAATGCATAGATTTTTGTCTACTATCATAATGTCATACAGAAGAGTTTCATCACCCCCAAAGTTGCTCTATGCTCCACCCACCCCCAAACCCTGGGAACCAGCAACTAATCCTTATAATTTTGCCTTTTCCAGAATGTCATATAAATGGAAACATCATAAAACATGTACTCTTAGGGTTTTGTTTCTCTCACTTATCAAAACGCATAAGATTTATTTATGTTGCTGTATAAAACACTACATCATGCTCTTTTTGGTTGCTGAGTTGTATTCTATTGTATGAGTATACTACCATATATTAATTCACCCATTTAAGAACTTCTGGGTTCTTTCAAGTTTTTTGTTGTTATAATAAAGCTGCTTATACAAAAATTGATGTCCAAGTTTTTGTGTGAAGGTAAGTTTTGAATTCACGTGGTCAAAAAACAGAGTAAGATTGATGGGGTTGGATGGTAAGTGTACATTTAACTTTATAAAACACAACCGTGTGCAAGTTAGTTACATAAGTAAACTTGTGTCATGGGAGTTCGTTGTGCAGATTATTTCATCACCCAGGTATTAGGCTTAGTACCTAATAGTTATTTTTCCTGAACCTCTCCCTGTTACCCTCTACCCCCTAATAGGCCTCAGTGAGTGTGTGTTGTTACTTAAAATAAAAGTTAAAAAAAAAATTGGAAAATATGAGTCACAAGTATAATAATGCTCTCTGAATATTTTGGCCATGATGAAGCAGGAGAAATAAACCATTTAAGAGAATTTTTTAAAAATAATTCAAGCAGTTTTCTCAAAGTGGCCATAAGTTCGTACCATCAATGTAGGGCAGTTTCAGTTGCTCTGCATACTCGCTGATTCTTAGTATTGTCAGGTTTTGTTATTGTTTGTTTTGTTTTGCCATTTTGATAGCTTTGTAATGGCATCACACTATAGTTTGACCTTACATTTTCCTAATGAAGAATAATATTGTGCATGTTTTAAAATACTCATATGTCATATGTATTGGTCTGTTCTCTTGCTGCTAGCAAAGACATACTCGAGGCTGGGTAATTGTTATTTTTTATTTATTTTTATTTTTATTTTTATTTTTGTTTTTTTTTACAATTTTCTTTTTCTTTTTTTTTACATTTTATTTTATTTTTTTATTTTTTTAATTTATTATTATTATACTTTAAGTTTCAGGGTACATATGCACAATGTGCAGGTTAGTTACATATGTTTACATGTGCCATGCTGGTGTGCTGCACCCGCTAACTCATCATCTAGCATTAGGTATATCTCCCAATGCTTTCCCTCCCCCCTCCCCCCACCCCACAACAGTCCCCAGAGTGTGATGTTCCCCTTCCTGTGTCCATGTGTTCTCATTGTTCAATTCCCACCTATGAGTGAGAACATGCGGTGTTTGGTTTTTTGTTCTTGCGATAGTTTACTGAGAATGATGATTTCCAATTTCATCCATGTCCCTACAAAGGATGTGAACTCATCATTTTTTATGGCTGCATAGTATTCCATGGTGTATATGTGCCACATTTTCTTAATCCAGTCTATCATTGTTGGACATTTGGGTTGGTCCCAAGTCTTTGCTATCGTGAATAATGCCGCAGTAAACATACGTGTGCATGTGTCTTTATAGCAGCATCATTTATAATCCTTTGGTTATATACCCAGTAATGGGATGGCTGGGTCAAATGGTATTTCTAGTTCTAGATCCCTGAGGAATCACCACACTGACTTCCACAATGGTTGAACTAGTTTACAGTCCCACCAACAGTGTAAAAGTGTTCCTATTTCTCCACATCCTCTCCAGCACCTGTTGTTTCCTGACTTTTTAATGATTGCCATTCTAACTGGTGTGAGATGGTATCTCATTGTGGTTTTGATTTGCATTTCTCTGATGGCCAGTGATGATGAGCATTTTTTCATGTGTTTTTTGGCTGCATAAATGTCTTCTTTTGAGAACTGTCTGTTCATGTCCTTCACCCACTTTTTGATGGGGTTTTTGTTTTTTTCTTGTAAATTTGTTTGAGTTCATTGTAGATTCTGGATATTAGCCCTTTGTCAGATGAGTAGGTTGCGAAAATTTTCTCCCATTTTGTAGGTTGCCTGTTCACTCTGATGGTAGTTTCTTTTGCTGTGCAGAAGCTCTTTAGTTTAATTAGATCCCATTTGTCAATTTTGGCTTTTGTTGCCATTGCTTTTGGTGTTTTAGACATGAAGTCCTTGCCCATGCCTATGTGCTGAATGGTAATGCCTAGGTTTTCTTCTAGGGTTTTTATGGTTTTAGGTCTAACGTTTAAGTCTTTAATCCATCTTGAATTGATTTTTGTATAAGGTGTAAGGAAGGGATCCAGTTTCAGCTTTCTACATATGGCTAGCCAGTTTTCCCAGCACCATTTATTAAACAGGGAATCCTTTCTCCATTGCTTATTTTTCTCAGGTTTGTCAAAGATCAGATAGTTGTAGATACACAGCGTTACTTCTGAGGGCTCTGTTCTGTTCCATTGACCTATATCTCTGTTTTGGTACCAGTAACATGCTGTTTTGGTTACTATAGCCTTGTAGTATAGTTTGAAGTCAGGTAGTGTGATGCCTCCAGCTTTGTTCTTTTGGCTTAGGATTGACTTGGCGATGCGGGCTCTTTTTTGGTTCCATATGAACTTTAAAGTAGTTTTTTCCAGTTCTGTGAAGAAAGTCATTGGTAGCTTGATGGGGATGGCATTGGATCTATAAATTACCCTGGGCAGTATGGCCATTTTCACGATATTGATTCTTCCTACCCATGAGCATGGAAAGTTCTTCCATTTGTTTGTATCCTCTTTTATTTCCTTGAGCAGTGGTTTGTAGTTCTCCTTGAAGAGGTCCTTCACATCCCTTGTAAGTTGGATTCCTAGGTATTTTATTCTCTTTGAAGCAATTGTGAGTGGGAGTTCATTCATAATTTGGCTCTCTGTTTGTCTTTTGTTGGTGTATAAGAATGCTTGTGATTTTTGTACATTGATTTTGTATCCTGAGACTTTGCTGAAGTTGCTTATCAGCTTAAGGAGATTTTGGGCTGAGACAATGGGGTTTTCTAGATATACAATCATGTCGTCTGCAAACGGGGACAATTTGACTTCCTCTTTTCCTAACTGAATACCCTTTATTTCCTTCTCCTGCCTAATTGCCCTGGCCAGAACTTCCAACACTATGTTGAATAGGAGTGGTGGGAGAGGGCATCCCTGTCTTGTGCCAGTTTTCAAAGGGAATGCTTCCAGTTTTTGCCCATTCAGTATGATGTTGGCTGTGGGTTTGTCATAGATAGCTCTTATTATTTTGAGATACGTCCCATCAATACCTAATTTATTGAGAATTTTTAGCCTGAAGGGTTGTTGAATTTTGTCAAAGGCCTTTTCTGCATCTATTGAGATAATCATGTGGTTTTTGTCTTTGGTTCTGTTTATATGCTGGATTACATTTATTGATTTGTATATACTGAACCAGCCTTGCATCCCAGGGATGAAGCCCACTTGATCATGGTGGATAAGCTTTTTGATGTGCTGCTGGATTTGCTTTGCCAGTATTTTATTGAGTCAATGTTCATCAAGGATATTGGTCTAAAATTCTCTTTTTTGGTTGTGTCTCTGCCCGGCTTTGGTATCAGGATGATGCTGGCCTCATAAAATGAGTTAGGGAGGATTCCCTCTTTTTCTATTGATTGGAATAATTTCAGAAGGAATGGTACCAGTTCCTCCTTGTACCTCTGGTAGAATTCGGCTGTGAATCCATCTGGTCCTGGACTCTTTTTGGTTGGTAAGCTATTGATTATTGCCACAATTTCAGCTCCTGTTATTGGTCTATTCAGAGATTCAACTTCTTCCTGGTTTAGTCTTGGGGGAGTGTATGTGTCGAGGAATTTATCCATTTCTTCTAGATTTTCTAGTTTATTTGCGTGGAGGTGTTTGTAGTATTCTCTGATGGTAGTTTGTATTTCTGTGGGATCGGTGGTGATATCCCCTTTATCATTTTTTATTACGTCTATTTGATTCTTCTCTCTTTTTTTCTTTATTAGTCTTGCTAGCAGTCTATCAATTTTGTTGATCCTTTCAAAAAACCAGCTCCTGGATTCATTAATTTTTTTGAAGGGTTTTTTGTGTATCTATTTCCTTCAATTCTGCTCTGATTTTAGTTATTTCTTGCCTTCTGCTAGCTTTTGAATGTGTTTGCTCTGCTTTTCTAGTTCTTTTAATTGTGATGTTAGGGTGTCAATTTTGGATCTTTCCTGCTTTCTCTTGTGGGCATTTAGTGCTATAAATTTCCCTCTACACACTGCTTTGAATGTGTCCTAGAGATTCTGGCATGTTGTGTCTTTGTTCTCGTTGGTTTCAAAGAATGTCTTTATTTCTGCCTTCATTTCCTTATGTACCCAGTAGTCAATCAGGAGCAGGTTGTTCAGTTTCCATGTAGTTGAGCGGTTTTGAGTGAGATTCTTAATCCTGAGTTCTAGTTTGATTGCACTGTGGTCTGAGAGACAGTTTGTTATAATTTCTGTTGTTTTACATTTGCTGAGGAGAGCTTTACTTCCAAGTATGTGGTCAGTTTTGGAATAGGTGTGGTGTGGTGCTGAAAAAAATGTATATTCTGTTGATTTGGGGTGGAGAGTTCTGTAGATGTCTATTAGGTCCACTTGGTGCAGAGCTGAGTTCAATTCCTGGGTATCCTTGTTGACTTTCTGTCTCGTTGATCTGTCTAATGTTGACAGTGGGGTGTTAAAGTCTCCCATTATTAATGTGTGGGAGTCTAAGTCTCTTTGTAGGTCACTCAGGCCTTGCTTTATGAATCTGGGTGCTCTTGTATTGGGTGCATATATATTTAGGATAGTTAGCTCTTCTTGTTGAATTGATCCCTTTACCATTATGTAATGGCCTTCTTTGTCTCTTTTGATCTTTGTTGGTTTAAAGTCTGTTTTATCAGAGAGTAGGATTGCAACCCCTGCCTTTTTTTGTTTTCCATTTGCTTGGTAGATCTTCCTCCATCCTTTTATTTTGAGCCTATGTGTGTCTCTGCACGTGAGATGGGTTTCCTGGGTACAGCACACTGATGGGTCTTGAGTCTTTATCCAATTTGCCAGTCTGTGTCTTTTAATTGGAGCATTTAGTCTGTTTACATTTAAAGTTAATATTGTTATGTGTGAATTTGGCTGGGTAATTTTTAAAGGAAAGAAGTTTAACTGACTCTAAGTTCCACATGTCTGGGGAGGCCTCACAATCATGGCAGAAGGCAAAGGGGAAGCAAGACATGTCTTACATGGCAGCAGGCAAGAAGAAGTGCTGAGCAAAAGGGGGAAAAGCCGCTTGTAAAACCATCAGATCTAGTGAGAACTCACTCACTATCACAAGAAGAGCATGAGGGTAACTGCCCCCATGATTAAACTCCCTCCCACCAGGTCCCTTCCATGACACATGGGGATTACGGGAACTACAATTCAAGATGAGATTTGGGTGGGGACGCAGCCAAACCATATCATCATATTTACAATTTCTTTAGTAAAATGTCTTTTCAAATTCTGACCATTTTTTATCTGCTGTTTATTTTCCTATTGTGAAGCTTTGGGGGTTATTCTGAATAGAAGTCCTTTATCAGATATATAATTTTCAAAAATTTTCTATTGTGGCTTATCTTTTCATTCTCTTAAAAGTATCATTAATAGGACAAATATTTTTAATTTGGTTATCATTCAATTTTTTTTTCTGTTATAGGTTGTTCTTTTGCTACACTATATAAAAACCCTTCACCAAAACCAAGATCACACAGATATTCTATGAATTTTTTGAGAAGTTTTATAGTGTATAAACCATTTTTTAATTCATTCTAAGAACCATTTGAATTCTTTTAAAGAAACTATAAAGCAACTTAAAGGTTTTCCTTCATTTTGCTTTGTTTTGCATATAGATTTCCAACTGTTTCATTGGTGTATGTTGAAAGACTATCCTTTGTCTCTGACTCTTGCTCTCTTATGCCAGGATTCACGAAACTGTGACAAATTAACTTGTTAGCCTGCAAACAGGGCTAAAGCTCAAACACTCATCATTTTTTGACAACAAAGAGTTCTTATGCCTTGAAATGGACATGTATTTCCTTGTGCTAAGCCTCCAGTAAGTTGGATTTAGTTGATCTAATTAAGACTTGAACTGGGTTTTAGGTTTATTGTTGCTATTGTTAGTTTTAGTACAACACAGCCATTAAAATCTTTTAGGGATTATTTTGTTTAGTGTAGGTGTTGATTTGCCAGAATTTTCCCCCCATTATTTACTCTACTGTGAGGTTTAGGTTTTCCCTTTGTACTGCACCTCAGAAATGCTTTGTTTCCTGCAAGTAATTCTTTCTTTATTGAACATTTGTTAACTTGATGGTAAAGGTGGGGAATTCAATGTTGTTCTGATAAAATTTAACTACAAGGTAGATAGGGTGTCCCTGGGTCTCTGGGATATTACTGTAACTACCCAGTGAGTTCTCCTTGCCCAGTGCCCAGACAGCAGATTTATCAAGACAGGGGAATTGCAGTAGGGAAAGAGTTTAATTCACACAGACATCTGGAGTTTTATTATTATTCAAATTAGTCTTCCTGAAAACCAGGGGATTTGGGTTTTTAAGGATAATTTGGTGGGTAAGGGGTCGGAAAGTGGGGAATACTGATTGATAGAATCAGAGATAAAATCGTGGTCAGTAGAAGCTGTCCTCTTGCACTGAGTCCGTTCCTGGGTGGAGACCACAAGACTAGATGAGCCAGTTTATTGATCTGGGTGTTTCCAGCTGATCCATGGTGTACAGGATCTGCAAAATATCTCAAGCACTGATCTTAGGTTTTATATTAAGGATGTTATCCCCAGGAGCAATTTGGGGAGGTTCAGTATCCTGCAGCCTACAGCTGCGTGACTCCTAAACCATAATTTCTAATCTTGTGGCTAATTTCTTAGTCCTGCAAAGACAGTCTAGTCCCCAGGCAGGAAGGGAGTTTGTTTTGGGAAAGGGCTGTTATCATCTCGGTCTAAAAATTAAACTATAAACTAAGTTCCACCTCCCACCTCTCCACAAAGTTATCTTGGCCTATGCCCAGGAATGAACAAGGACAGCTTGGAGGTTAGAAGCAAGATTTAGTCAGTTACATCAGATATTTTTCACTGTCAAAATTTTCTCAGTTATAATTTTTGCAAAGGTGGATTCATTACCTCTTTAATGATTCTCTCTCCAGCACAGTTTTGAGCCCAGTCCTTATTTGCCAGGGGTATATGGTTCATGGCCTGTCCCTTTCTCCCAGCAGTAGTGGGTTTTCTCCAGTGCCTGAGGACAATTCGTTTCCTTTGTCTCAGAGATTATTGCATTTCTTCCTTAGTGGAGATGAGGGAGAATGCCCCCAGAGTTCCTTACTGCTTTTGCATTGGTTTCTATTCTCCTCTCCTTTGGTTCTGTCTCCCTACACTGCAGAGTTTTTCTGGACTCTCTCGAACTTATTTGGTGGGGTATGTGCACACTAAGACTTCAGAAATTTGCCAATCATCTTACTTGAACTCTACAGGAATCCAGGAGCAGCCTGCCCAGATAAGCCAGTGTTCTGGTTTTATGCCATACTCACAGGTGCCTGCCTCTCCTTAGATTTTGGGCCCTGCAACCTCCATGCTCTGATGCGTTTAAAAAATATACAGACTTCTGGCAAATCAACACCTACACTAAAACAAACTTCTTGTTTACTTGACTTTTGTTGTTTTTGTTGTAAGGTTGAGAATGATAATCCTTCTGGCTCTCTATATACCTGAGCAGAAATTGAGTGTCAATTTAATTCTTTTCTAAAATTTAATTTCAAAAAGCAACTGACTGAAAATTTGTACCTTTTTATTTTGAGAGACTCTCCATAATAATTTAGAGTTCTAAATTATGATGATTTTTCTTAATAATTCATTAATTAGGTACAGCTCTGCTGATTTAATGAAACAAGTAAATTCATGAGTCCTTGGAGCATCACAGCCTTGAGAAATTTCCTTAATACTTCTGTGACTCTGTGACTGAATTAGTAAAGCAATAATAACAAATTTTCCATCTAGTTCCAGCAATATAATGAAGATTTAAGAACTAAAAGTGTTTTGCTATTTTCAAAAGGTAATTTTTTTAAACAAAAATATTTGTTCTTACGGATTATTAACTGCACTGCCATGGAAATTTTATCTAGTATAAGTAATGTCATGACTAACCAAAGTAGAACAGAAAAATTGAGGACAAAGAATGGATTCTTTACAACAAATGACATAAAATAACAGTCCTTAAAAAGTTAAATCACTGTATTTTTACAAAATAAAATTATTTTCTGACCTTTTAAAGTACATTTACATTTGAAAAATACAGAAATAATTCTAAAATTAAGGGGGAAAATTTCTGACTATGGAATATAAACTGTAATCAAAATTAAGCTACAAAAATTTGGGAGCGATTACCTATCCCCTAAAATTTTATGTGAAATTTCACTGGAAAAACTCCAAAATTTTCTTCATCACCCTGCATATCTGCTTTATAGGCCCCATTCTTATTAGAAGAAATATCACATATTAAGGACAGTTATAAGATGAAGAAGGATGCTCAAAGTTATAAAGAAGCTGACTAAACAACAAACTTGAAAATTGTTTCACAGCAAATGATAAGAGGGCTTAAGGAGTCATTAAAAGAGAGACTTAAGAATAAGTAGGAGGATAATGATGATTACCATTTAATCCTGGTTAATAATGCAAAGGTTAGAAGTCATATACAGTAACTTGCAGTGTATTATTTTAATGTTTTATTACTGTGATGGAAAGCATCTGACATAAAGATTGATTGGATGCAAGTCACCCCATCAACTCTTCTGTCGAAGTGGGTAAATCTCTTTGAGAAGATATGTCTGCAGCCTGCCTGACTCTGACCTACTGTGTTGAGAACAACTGGACTATACCAGATGTGTTTCATTCTGCTTATTATTGTGACTCAGAAATGCTTTGATCTTACAAAACTTTAACTTTGAAGATTAGGCCTGATGTGAAACAAGGAGCCATTATAAGGAATAAATTCCAAAGGCCTAGATACTCACACCTTTAACATACAGATTTAGTAGGAGGAATTATATTTATAGAAACATGAAAATTAATTTGTTCCCCATAATTGAAGCAATGAACTATTTTTTAATGAATTCAGACTAATGATCTTAAATTATTTTCTGATTGCGAAGAATTTCTTTTTTAAAAGGCATATTTGAATAACAAAATTTTTTTCACCTCTGAAATAAAGTCCCAATCCTTTTATACAAGGTGCATAAAAAATCTCGGTACAATGTTTTTTCCAAGTTCAACTTTGCCTGATTTTCTTCAACAAAAGTCTACTGCTAAAAAAAATCTGAATACTACTAACCATTCTACTTATTTTTTTATATTATGCTTTATTTTTGTAACACAATGTATGAATAAATTAATAATCCAAGAGAATTAATATGCTTAAAATGAAATACAACAGTTTCTGCTCTATTTTCAGACATTTCAAATCAGCAACCAATGATAGTTTTAAATTTTTCTTTTGATGTTTATCAACATATGCCACAAAGCCTAACCTATTATTTGGCTATAACCCTTGTTTGGTACTTAAATGTGCTGGCATTAATTATTTATTATTTCTCGATTGTTTATATTTATTAAAGAAACTCCAAAAAAGGGCCATGCACTTGCTATGACAATTTCCCTAGTCCCGTAAATAGCGTACTAATTGACTAATTTGAAGTTGTGTCTCTGAGTGTATCTGGTTTACCATGATTCATACTTCTATTGTTACAAAAAGTTCCTCCAAATGCTTTTAAGATTCTCATTTACAACATAAGTAGTCATTTGCAAAATATCATGATAATCTACATAAAGCTATAAATATAAATAAATAGTTGAAGGTATTGTTGAACAATTTTTTAAATAATAAATGGAAAATGGAATAAACTTTTAGATATGTTCAAAAAGCTGAAAGAGAATTTGTATGTTTGACAAAGAAAACATACAATTTAAGTATTTCCCTATAGAACTGTTAATAAAGAATTATTAACAAAGAGTTGAGATGTTGGTATTTGTGACATGATTTTTCCCATTTGTAGCTTTCATCTTGGCTTATTTAATGCTGTATTTTTTTCTTGCAGAAATAGCTACCTTAGTCTTTGAACACTGGAATTATCCATCCATTGTGTTTTCATTTAAATAAGAGCACATTAAGATTCTAGATGATTAATTTTTTTATAAAAAGAGATATAAATCAATGAAAATACCCTATTTTTACACTAGATACGTGTGAAAAGTGCAACCATTGCATTTCAGTTTCAATAGTGGCTTCTGTTTACATATTGTTATGTTTTAACTGGATGATAGACCTGTACAACCAATATTATAAAGTCTATTTTAATTACATCAGAATTGGTTTATTCTGAGATGTTTGCTCTAAATCTAAAATTTTAATGGATCTGTAATAATCCTGACTTTGTGTAAGTCTGCATATATCTAAGTTTCATCTTGTAAATTAAAGTGAAAACACTAGGGTAATTTATGTATATGTTGACTTAGCATCATACATATGTGTATGTTTATATAGATATATGTGTGTGTATAATTTTACTCATAAGTTAAATATATGGAACTCTTACAACACACAAGACACTATCTTTAGTAATCCTCCCAGAAACCCTATAGGTAGGATTATATATATTAACCTCCATACCAGCACAATTCAGACAGAGAAAAGTAACACTATTAATAATTTTCCTGGGGCAATAGGCAAAATTCAGGATGAATAGTCACCCCACCTAGAGAGTAAACATTTTCCAGACTAACTCATTTGAGAATGATTTCTGCAATTATAAATGAGGACACCAAAGTTTAGAGAGACAAAGGAATTTATTCAAGTCACACATCTATTAAGCACATTAGGTAAAATTCAAATTTAGGATATATAATGAGAGAGACTCCTATTATATAAAATATAAAAATATAGTAGTTTCAGAACAGAAATTGTAGCATATTAGCAATTGATTAAATGTACATGTGGGGTTTTTTGGAATTCTGAGAGACATATGTCTGGAAAGACATACAAGCAAACTGTTAACAGTGGTTACCCATGAAGAATGAGTGGTTGGATATGGGGAAATTTTCACTTTGGTATGTATAAATTTCTCCATTTTCAATTACCATACAATCTATCCCCCTATGATCTCCTGACACAGCCAAAGAGCATGTGTTATTTTACTGAAAGAAAATATGTCAACATTATTTATATTTTAACTTTTTAAATAAAAGACACACAAAAGTTAACTTCACAAACATCCTGTACACATAAATGACATCCTGCTTTGAAAGTAATAGTTAGGATTACACTAATTTCAGGTTTATCATAACTGGAGCTAATATTTTGTATTTTAATAAAAAAGCTTTAAAACATTTTAATTGTCTAAAACATTGAAAGTTTGAAAGTATAGTCATATTTCAGTGAGAATAAAATAGGTTATATTAAATAATTTTAAAATGCAATTAAATAATGGACTCTACTTTTCAAATCTAATTGAGATTGTATCCTATTATTTTCTTGCTTTAAAAGTTTTTGGTTTAGATAAATAAAATAATTAGTTTAATAAATTATTAAGCTCATATGTTTGTATAGAAACACAGAAAAATATTCACAATGATAAGATCTTATATTACAGTAAATGAAGTAAATCAAAGTCCTTTTTAAGTCAATCTTGGTTTTCATAAATTTCATACCTCAGAGGCTCATCTAAATTATGAGTGACTTTGTTGCAAGTATACTGGAAACTTTATAGTCTTAGAAGGGAAGATTATTTGCTTAAAGAAAAAATTTACATAAAATTTTGTTCCATAAAATACAAATCCCAAATAACCAAAGTAGCCACACAATTTTAGCGTACTTTTCTATGCAAGGAGAAGAAAGAAACAATCCTGAAGTGGACAATTGCTTGAAAAGAATCACTGGCAACTCATTAGAGAGTTACAGCTACTTGTGGTACTCTATAGGATTAAGGTCAGTTACTCTTTCCCTTATACCCAGTAGCTATGCAGTAAAAAGTTTGGTAACTGGAAGCTATCAATTTTGAAGTGAGGAATTGATAGAAATTGTATATACATTTGTGCTTGATTGATAAAAGTTAGGATGTGAGAATTGTTTTTTAACAAGCATAGGCCTTATCCTGTCCATTCTTACCC
Organism: Homo sapiens; assembly: GCF_000001405.40. Classification (NCBI taxonomy): domain Eukaryota; kingdom Metazoa; phylum Chordata; class Mammalia; order Primates; family Hominidae; genus Homo; species Homo sapiens. The sequence continues at coordinate 92,210,489 of NC_000004.12, forward strand.
AAACAAGACTGATGACTCAGGAGGCTGAACTTCTGTTTTATCCATCTGTAAAAGGGAGATAAAATAGCATAAACATCAAAGGGTTGTTGTAAGTGTTGAAGACACAAAGGATGTAAATAGCATGTATTATATGTAAATAAAAGGAGATATGTGGTATAATTAACTTTTTTACTAGTATTATTTAAAAATAACAGAATAGGCTTAAGGAATGAATACAAACTAATATATTTTATTATAAAAAATGTCTGAATTTCAGTTACTTTAAAAACCGAACAGCTATTTACGACCTTTCATATGTATAGCATAATGAAACAAGTTCTATCATTTTGGAAAAACAGAGGATATCTGATTAAAAATAATATTTTGTGGAGAGATTGTTCCAAGATGGCTGAATAGGAACAGCTGTGGTCTGCAGCTCCCAGCATGATCAACACAGAAGATGGGTGATTTCTGCATTTCCGACTGAGGTACCTGGTTCATCTCATTGGGACTACTTGGACAGTGTGTGCAGCCCACAGAGGGTGAGCTGAAGCAGGGCGGGGCACCTCCTCACCTGGCAAGCACAAGGGGTCAGGGGATTTCCCTTTCCTAGCTAAGGGAAGCCTTAACAGACGGTACCTGGAAAATCGGGACACTCCTGCCCTAATACTGCACTTTTACAACAGTCTTAGCATATGGCACACCAGGAGGTTATATCCCACGCCTGGCTTGGCAGATCTCATGCCCACGGAGCCTTGCTCACTGCTAGCACAGCAGACTGAGAGCGAATTGCAAGGTGGCAGCCAGGCTGGGGTAGGGACATCCACCATTGCTGAGGCTTGAGTGGGTAAACAAAGTGGCCAGGAAGCTCGAACTGGGTGGAGCCCACCACAGCTTAACCAGGCCTGCCTGCCTCTGTAGACTCCACCTATGGAGGCAGGACATAGCTAAACAAAAGGCAGCAGAAACTTCTGCAGACTCCTAGTCTCTGATAAAACAGACTTTAAACCAACAAAGATCAAGAGAGACAAAGAAGGCCATTACATAATGGTAAAGGGATAATTCAACAAGAAGACCTGACTATCCTAAATATATACGCACCCAATACAGGAGCAACCAGACTCATAAAGCAAGTCCTTAGAGACCTACAAAGAGACTTAGACTCCCACACAATAATAATGGGAGATTTCAACACCCCACTGTCAAAATTAGACAGATCAACGAGACAGAAGGTTAGCAAGGATATCCAGGACTTGAACTCAGCTCTGCACCAAGTGGACCTAATAGACATCTACAGAACTCTCCACCCCAAATCAACAGAATATACATTCTTCTCAGCACCACATCTCACTTATTCCAAAATTGACCACATAGTTGGAAGTGAAGCAATCCTCAGCAAATATGAAAGAAGACAAATCACAACAAACTGTCTCTCAGTCCACAGTGCAATCAAATTAGAACTCAGGATTAAGAAACTCATTCAAAACTGCACAACTACGTGGAAGCTGAACAACCTGCTCCTGAATGACTACTGGGTAAATAACGAAATGCAGGCAGAAATAAAGATGTTCTTTGAAACCAATGAGAACAAACACACAACACGCCAGAATCTCTGGGACACATTTAAAGCAATGTGTAGAGGGATATTTATAGCACTAAATTCCCACAAAAGAAAGCAGGAAATATCTAAAATCAACACCCCAACATCACAATTAAAATAACTAGAGAAGCGAGAGCAAACACATTCAAAAGCTAGCAGAAGGCAAGAAATAACTAAGATCAGAGCAGAACTGAAGGAGATAGAAACACAAAAAACTCTTCAAAAAATCCATGAATCCAGGAGCTGGTTTTTTGAAAAGATCAACAAAATTGATAGACCACTAGCAAGACTAATAAAGAAGAAAAGAGAGAAGAATCAAACAGATGCAATAAAAATGATAAAAGGGAGATCACAACCAATTCCACAGAAATACAAACTACCATCAGAGAATACTATAAACACCTCTACTCAAATAAACTAGAAAATCTAGAAGAAATGGATAAATTCCTGGACACATACATCCTCCCAAGACTAAACCAGGAAGAAGTTGAATCCCTGAATAGACCAATAACAGGCTCTGAAGTCGAAGCAATAATTAATAGCCTACCAACCAAAAAAAGTCCAGGACCAGATGGATTCACAGCCGAATTCTACCAGAGGTACAAGGAGGAGCTAGTACCATTCCTTCTGAAACAATTCCAATCAATAGAAAAAGAGGGAATCCTCCCTGACTCATTTTATGAGGCCAGCATCATCCTGATACCAAAGCCTGGCAGAGACACAACAAAAAAAAGAGAATTTTAGACCAATATACCTGATGAACATCAATGCAAAAATCCTCAATAAAATACCACCATGATAAAGGGGGCTTCATCCCTAGAATGCAAGCCTGGTTCAACATATGCAAATCAATAAATGTAATCCATCACATAAACAGAACCAAAGACAAAAATCAAATGATTATCTCAATAGATGCAGAAAAGTCCTTTGATAAAATTCAACAGTCCTTCATGCTAAAAACTCTCAATAAACTGGGTATTGATGGAACATATCTCAAAATAATAAGAGCTATTTATGACAAACCCACAGCCAATATCTTACTGAATGGGCAAAAACTGGAAGCATTCCCTTTGAAAACTGGTACAAGACAGGGATGGCCTCTCTCACCACTCGTATTCAGCGTAGTGTTGGAAGTTCTGGCCAGGGCAATCAGGCAGGAGAAAGAAATAAAGGGTATTCAATTAGGAAAAGAGGAAGTCAAATTGTCCCTGTTAGCAGGTGACATGATTGTATATTTAGAAAACCCCATGGTCTCAGCCCAAAATCTCCTTAAGCTGATAAGCAATTTCAGCAAAGTCTCAGGATACAAAATCAATGAGCAAAAATCACCAGCATTCTTATACACCAATAACAGACAAACAGCAAAATCATGAGTGAACTCCCATTCACAATTGCTTCAAAGAGAATAAAATACCTGGGAATCCAACTTACAAGGGTTGTGAAGGACCTGTTCAAGGAGAACTACAAAACACTGCTCAAATAAATAAGAGAGGACACAAACAAATGGAATAACATTCCATGCTCAGGGATAGGAAGAATCAACATTGTGAAAATGGCCATACTGCCCAGGGTAATTTATAGATTCAATGCCATCCCCATCAAGCTACCAATGACTTTCTTCACAGAATTGGAAAAAACTACTTTAAAGTTCATATTGAATGAAAAAAGAGCCTGCATAGCCAAGACAGTCCTGAGCAAGAAGAACAAAGCTGGAGGCATCATGCTACCCGACTTCAAACTATACTACAAGGCTACAGTAACCAAAACAGCATGACACTGGTACCAAAACAGAGATATAGACCAATGGAACAGAACAGAGACCTCAAAAATAATACCACACATCTACAACCATCTGATTTTTGACAAACCTGACAAAAACAAGAAATGGGGAAAGGATTCCCTATTTAATAAATGGTGCTGGGAAAAATGGCTAGCCATATGTAGAAAGCTGAAACTGGATCCCTTCCTTACACCTTATACAAAAATTAATTCAAGATGGATTAAAGACTTCAATGTTAGGCATAAAATCATAAAAACCCTAGAAGAAAACCTAGGCAATACCATTCAGGACATAGTCATGGACAAGGACTTCATGACTAAAACACCAAAAGCAATGGCAACAAAAGCCAAAATAGACAAATGGGATCTAATTAAACTAAAGAGTTTCTGCATAGCAAAAGAAACTACCATCAGAGTGAAGAGGCAACCTACAGAATGGGAGAAAATTTTTGCAATCTACCCATCTGACAAAGGGCTAATATCCAGAATCTACAAAGAACTTAAAAAAATTTACAAGAAAAAATCATACAACCCCATCAACAAGTGGGCGAAGGATCTGAACGGACACTTCTCAAAAGAAGACATTTATGCAGTCAATAGACACATGAAAAAATGCTCATGATCACTGGTTATCAGAGAAATGCAAATCAAAACCACAATGAGATACCATCTCATACCAGTTAGAATGGCAATCATTAAAAAGGAAACAACAGGTGCTGGAGAGGATGTGGAGAAATAGGAACAATTTTACACTGTTGATGGAACTGTAAACTAGTTCAACCATTGTGGAAGACAGTGTGGTGATTTCTCAAGGATCTAGAAATAGAAATACCATTTGATCCAGTGATCCCATTACTGTGTATATATCCAAAGGATTATAAATCATGCTACTATAAGGACACATGCACATCTATGTTTACTGCAGCACTATTTACAATAGCAAAGACTTGGAACCAACCCAAATGCCCACCAATGATAGACTGGATTAAGAAAATGTGGCACATATACACTATGGAATACTATGCAGCTGTAAAAAAGGATGAGTTCATGTCCTTTGTAGGGACATGGATGAAACTGGAAACCATCATTCTCTGCAAACTATCGCAAGGACAGAAAACCAAACACCACATGTTCTCACTCATAGGTGGGAATTGAACAATAAGAACACTTGGATACAGGGTGGGGAACATCACACACTGGGGGGCTGTCATGGGGTGGGGGGCTGTGGGTGGGATAGCATTAGGAGAAATACCTAATGTAAATAACAAGTTAATGGGTGCAGCACAACAACATGGTACATATATACATATGTAACAAACCTGCACGTTGTGCATATATACCCTAGAACTTAAAGTATAATAATAAAATAATATAATATTTTGTAATTATTTGCCCTTAGTATTCTACTTTAAGCATGAAAGTGCATGTTCTTTGAATATGGTGTTTTTTTCTGGCCCCCTTCACTATAGAATCTACCACTTAGTAGTGTGTCAACTAGATATTGACCTTTAATTATTACTGATTATTGCTGATGTTGGTGATTAAAGAATGACTAAAAAGTGATACTCGTGATAAAATTGGAGAGAAAGAAATAAAGAAGGAATTTTGGTAAGAATGAAAAAAGGAAAGTAAGAGAACTGTTTTGTATGTGATTTACTGCAACTGATTACGTGAAAGTTGAAAGTGGTTCTACTATCCGGCCTTTAATCTTTTTTAAAAGAGCCTACACTGACTTGGAAATGGGTGAACTGATACAGAGAAAAACTGAGGGGAGGATACTGGTGTCAAAGGACTCACTTTCCTTCCATCTGTAATTGCAGGATTATCTGCCATGCTTCCAGAAACGGGAGCAAGTGAGAGAAAGGGGAAGACAGATGGCTTCTTGGTCTCCCTGCTGTGCCTAGATGATTGTACATTTTAGAGGGAAAAAAATTAATAATCTGATTTTTTAAATCCTCACCCACACTTGATCCTCAGCTAAATATTTTTGAAAGTGACACTTTTAGGTTAACTTTCATTTCTTTCGATTACACTACCCTCTGCTCCAGTTTTTAGTTGAGATTTCAAAGGTCATGCTCCAAAAAAAGCACTTTATTGTGATATTCTGAGTCAAAATTAAAGTGAAAAATTGTGACTAGTCTCATAGGAACTCCTAAGGGAGCAAGGCTTTGTCTTCTTTTAAACACAGTATGTTTGAGGGAACTTCAAAGGTTGTAGAATAAAAATTAATTTTGAAATCACATAAAATTCTTATCTCTACCCTAAGTAATCTGAAGAGTTTTCTACTTCTACTCAAAAGTCCTATAATTGTTGGAAAATTAAGGCTACAATGCAATTTAAGGTAATTTGGAAACAAATACGTTCATATAACTGAGGGGAAAAATGATGGTGCTGAAGTGGTTTTCGTGATTTTCTCGTTTATCCTCACACAGTATATGGTAGCATGTTGTTATAGTGAGCAGGTGGGCAGGTAAAGAAATGATACCAGTTAAGTAATACATTTTCCAGTTGTCATTCTGCTGTTGCCAATAATTACTTGATTTTTTCTTAAAGAAGCCTATTTAACATTTTGAGTTTGGGGATTACAATCATGTACTTAAAGTTAAAACTCATTTTAGTCAAGTAACAGGAAAGAAGCATTATGATTAAATTATGCTTAACCCTGGCTTTCATAAACTCATCAATATTATTTGTTCAATTTGAGTTAAATTGTACATGTAAACTCATATTTCTACACAAATATAGAGTGAAAGCAGTTGTCACCTCCCCTAGTTTCATTAACACTCTCATAGTTAAATGGAAATCAAATTATTTACAACTATCATCTCCATCTCTCACTGGTCTGTCTCTTATTTTTGGTCATCATTGGCAATTAAGATTTCCCTTACTGTCAGCATCAACATTTTCCTATAGCTAAATACAGCATTCTTCTTAGACGCTTAGCTCTGTGCTAAGAGCAGATGATCACTTTGGGTTTTTCCGCTATCCCACTTCTAAAATTAAAACAAAAACTAAAACAAAAAACAATGTCTCATTTTGGTGTTAATAATTTGATATGTATATTTAAAAAGGCTTGGGGACTAGGCCAACACCCACCTCCTCTTCACCCTGAGAAGTGCCTCTACTACAGAACCACAGATACTAGCCAGCGAGGTTTGTGACTTTTCTATGAGGACATGACCTTGTCCCTCAGTCCAGCTTACCTAACAGGGGCTGTCAGTCAACTGCTTAGAAACATCACTATTGTGTCTGCTGTATTCTCATTGCTGATTTTATGGGATTTAAGGTGATAAGCCTAATCCTTAACAGGAGCAGTCAGTGCTATACACTCAGTGTATCGCAAATATTCCCATCACCAAAATAAGCCTCCAAGGGAGCTCATCGATCAACTTTCTGTTATTTTCCACTGCCTCTGAACTGGTGGGCCCTTGAGACATCCTGTATACCTGGATCTCCTATCTTCTATATGCAGGTTGTGGGGAGCCAGGAGTATATTTCACATTTTTGCTACTCTATTGGACCAAGGTTCGAACTTCCTTTGCCTATTTTTTTTCTCTTAAGCCAACTACTACTCCTAAGTCTTGCTGCCTTTTGGGATCTGAAAGTCAAAAGCAGTCCTTCTCAATGTGTAATATCCCTGTTTTATTCCTTGACACTTCTTTCCAGTGTCTGAAGAGCTTCCCCTTCCCATGTTATGGGAACTCATCCTATTTTATATATTTTATCTTTCTAGATAGTATTTGCTCTTCCAATATCTAATGCAATAATGAGATAGTGCTGAATGAAATGGAACAAGTTACCAAGAAAAGAAAAAAAAACATGTGGGAGAGGCAATGGAGATGGAGTGGGGAAATCAGTTTTATTATCCCATTAATATGAATGCCAAGTTTTATATATCATTCTATGTAGGGAGACACCCTGAAACTATTGCTACAGAATAAAAGATGAATTGCTCCTGATTATTGTAAATACAAAATTGCATGCAGGATTGTGTAAAGACAATGCCAGGTTGGACTGCCAGAATGAGCCAATAACGCATGATGTGCTTCCCCCTGCAGAGAGCCTATGAATGGATGTGCAGTCGAGGAGGTTTCACATCACCAAGATTCCTATCCCAGAAAAGCAGATGTTCATAGCTCTGGGAATGGAATGTGACCCTTGTGGAGAGCCTATAAACGGATGCATGGGGGGGTGCCTGTCCATATGGATAAGATAGGGCTACAAACGCCCTTATCTTGCCAGGGCTCTTCTAGGCCTCTTTAGGGTTAAGGCATACTCCCTTCTGAGAATTTCTGGTCTAACTGGTTGTGTAGCTTCACATCCTGTTTCTATGGATTGTTTGTAACCAGCTTTTGCTGCAACTGTTACTGCTTATTAATATCTTGCTAATCATAGGTTGTGGAAAGACTGTGTTTCTGTTTTAAGGCTCTGTTAGAAATTACTGATGCACACATTATATTGTAAATTCTTATCTCTGTATACTGTACTTCTGCATACAGATGTTATGTTAAAGAATTACTTCATCCCCATGTGACCATCTCACCTCATAATCAAATGACCCTAAATCCCTCACTAACCTATCCCCACCCTCACTAAACTTAATAATAAATGCTGGTATATCCAGTGCATTGGTGGCACCACGGGACCAGAAGACGGTGACCCCCCTGGACCCAGCTTTCAGTATCTTGTGTGTGTCTATTATTTCTCGACCTGTCAATCCACCTGGGAACAAAGAGAGAGCCCCGTTACATTGCGGGCTGCTGGCCAGAGCCCACAATAATTCTAAAGAAGATAGGAAAGTACAGAGACCAAAATGCCAAGAAACTTATTTTCCACCCCAGACATTCTTTTTATAGGAAGGCCTTTACATCTGTCTGATAGGAACCCTCCCTATGTCAAATATGCCTTCTTCCCTAAAAGCACTTAACCCCTTACCAGTATGTGCTATTGTTACCTTCAGGTAATAATAGCTGAAATGCTGCTCAGAAAGAAATCAGATTACTAAAATGGGGGAAAAGTCTTGTGGTGGAGTAGAAAAATGCATTCTTATCACATTTGGAAGCATATGAACCCTACTGAAGAATAAAAGAAGAGAAATAAGAATATTGATTAAGGGTCATAAATGTGGGAAAGTAGTGCTGCAGATGAAATAATATAGAGATTTTGATAAAGAAGCTAGAGTCTCAGAACAGAAGTATAAGCATATTGTTAGGCAAACTTTCTTAAGTTGAAAGCAATCTGAGCTTACAACAAAAATAAAGCATAGTATTTATCAATAAGACATTAGTAAAAAGAGAAATGTCTTGACAATAATGTTGAATGAAATGCAAGTTCTATAAGCATACTAGCAAAAAAAAAAAAAAAAAGACAGGTTACCCATCTGATATGGTTGAATGTGTTCCATCCAAAATTCAGATGTTGAAACTTGATGGTCAATGTGATAGTGTTAGGAGATGGGGCCTTTAAGAGGTGATTAGGCTGCTCCCTCATGAATGGGATTAAGGCCCTTATAAAAAGAAGCTTTGTGCAGTGTTCAGATCTCTTGCTCTTTGACCTTATGACATATGAAGACACAGCATTTCTCTCCTCTGGAGGATGCAGCCCTCATAACTGAACCTGCCAGTACAGTGATCTTCGACTTCCCAGATTCCAGAACTCTGAGAAATAAATTTCTGTTCTTTATAAATTACCCAGTCCCAGGTATTTTGTTACAGAAGCAAGACCAGACTAGAAACTACACAAGTGCACAATTCATGATAAGCCCAGATTTTTCCACAATATTAAATGTCGGAATTATTTAAACAAACAAACAAAAAAACTAACTTGAATCAACTCTTTTTCATGTGCCACAGACTGAAGTAAGAACCTCATGAGAATGATCTCACATAACCCCCATTAGAACTCTGTGCATAGTTAAAACTGTGTACCTGTTAACCTACAACTCCCCATTTAAGGTTTCAGTTATGTAGGGTGAATACTTCCCAAAGATCTTATCTACTGCATGGTGATTATAGTCAATGATACGGTATTGTACACTTGTAATTTGCAAGAGAGTAGATATTAAATGTCTTATCACACACACACACAAAATGTAACTATGTGAGGTGATGGATATGTTAATTTGCTTTATTGGGGAAATCATTTTACAGTGTATAGGTATATCAAAATATCACATTGTATACCTTAAATATGTATAATTTTATATGCCAATTATGTCTCAATAAAGCTGGGGGGAAAAGAGCCCTATGCAGTATTTACTGTTAAAATCACATTTCACAACAGGGAGAAACAGAAGTTCAGGAAGCTCTCTGATTGGCCGTTAATCATAGAGTGTGTACCCAGCAAGTTAGGATTGAAGGTTATATCAGTCAATTATTGAATGAGGTCTACATATATGTATAATTAAAAGATAGATTAACAAATATTCACTAAGCCTTGTATGCCACAAAGAATACATTAGATTTTACAGCATAACATTTAACAGAATTGAAGTCTGCAGAAAAAAGTCACCAAATTAAAAGAGCAAAAATTTTACAAATTTGGTTTTATTTCCACAATGCTAAAGACACAATATAGAAAGTAGTAATAAAAACTTTCCAATCATTTGGAAAATGTGCTTTAACAGTCCACTTAAATTATGACAGTTGTTCCAACAAATTTTACTATATGCGGTGGATAAGGTTTGAATTCTTTCTGGGGAGGCGTCTCGGCCTCTAAGAAAATATGCTTTAGGAGACTTGGAGTACCTGGTCACTAGACAAATCCACTCCTCTGCAAATCTTTCTTAGACTCAAGCTGAGGCCTTTGCTATATTTTCTTCCTCCCAAATATTTACAACTTCCTGCCAAGTTACAGGTTCTTGCTAGAATTTCTCACCATTCCCACAACTTCCTCTCTATGGAAAACCAGTCGGCTAAGCTTTCAGGGCACTCAGGTAAAATCTGCCAGGTCTGCTTTGAGGGAATGATTCCAGTATCATCAACATTTTTGATCTGTCTTTGTCAGACCTTTCCACTCATCTCAAGACCATTAAGGCAGCCTCATTTTCAGTGAACAATCTTTCTAAAAAAAATAAAACCTGAAAAACTTTATTAGCCCAATAGTTATTCCTGGAGGAAGAGGAGAAAAAGGAAGGAAGAAAGGAATTGTTGCTAGTCCTATATAGAATTGCCAGCATTTTATTTTCCCAAAATTACTAATTTAGGAAAAAAATTTTACTACAATTTATATGTATTATGAATACTTTTTTCATAGAAGAAATATAATACTAAAAATAAGTTAAATGAATTTAGCCTTAGAAAAACTTATTTTGCTAAAAATTATCAAAATCTTATATAAACCAGTATTCTTGGATCACAGTTTGGGAAATACTAATTTCTTTTGTAGATCTAATGAGAAGAGGGCTGAAAGTTCAAAAATAAGAGGCACTGCAAAAACCACGCATCAGGTTAAAAACTGCGCATATATATATATATATATATATATATATATATATATATATATGGAAATTACAAAATATCAATATCGAAGACATGTGGAATAAAGGTTATCTAGTAAAATGTACACTTGGGTATAATTTATTAATGATAGCTAAATGGCTCACTGAATGTAATAGAAAGTAGCAACCCTCATTGTATTCTATTTAAAAATAAGCTATGATATTAGAAACTTAAACTTCATGAGGCTGGTAATACCAATAGAGGCGTGCTGAGCTACATAGATTGTGAAGTAGAAAAGTTGAACAGTAAAGAATGTGTTTCTCCAGCGTTGTCCTAATTAGAGTTAGCTGTGACTAATGGACACAAAATAAAGCAGGAGTAAGTCTTTATTTTCTGTTTTAGGATAAATATGAACATTTAAGTTGTTTGCTATGATTCCACAAACTTGATTCTCATTTCAAGACAAATAGGAAAAATTAAGATATTATAGAAAATGAAAAAGTGGTTTCCTGAATTCAGGTTAATAAATTTTGTTGTGAAATTTGTTTAGCATAATATACACTAATAAACCCTAAGACAATAGATAAAGTAAAATTTTTAATTATGCAAGATCAGAGGCACCTCAGCCATATCACATCTTAATGCACAAAATCATATCCTATTTCAAGAGGTTTTAACCCAAAGTTTAGAAAAGAAATTCCGTATTTTATCTCATAAATCATGTGATCTAACTTAGAGAATGAAATCAAGGGCTTTTTGCTCTTAGTCTTAAAAGAGACACAAGAAAATAAACATATTCTTCAATTTCAATCATTCATTTGCCTAAAATTTATATCACATTATTTTTAACTTTAATATGTGAAACTATTTCATCCAGGATACAGAACTTAGTACATAGGTATAAATAAACAAGTTAGCTTTTTCAATTAAACTTACAGACAGGTAAGAATGTAAATGCTTTTTCCTATTTATCAAATACTAATTCAAATGCAAAATGTAAAAGATTTTCTTTTAGCCAAATAATAGACAATCTTATTGTAATATAAATTAGATTATAAATCTAAATACCAGTTGACACTCAACTTCTGATATTTACAATAATCATAGTTAAGTCATTCTGGAGCATAAAAGTTAAGTGCATGCAATAAAAAGCTGTGGAATTACATATATATAGAAATTGTACAAAACTCAGTGAAGTGCTACTAACCACTCTTATTTCAATAAAATAAGGAAAGATTAAGGCTTTGATGCTTTTTAAAAAGTGACATCTTATGAAGAAAATCTGCTTTTAAGTATTCTTTCAAAAACCAATTTTTTACATCTCCAAAGTAGTATAATTTCTCATTATCACTTTATTTCTACATAGAAAAGTAGACTTTTATGTAGACAACGTTGACATAAATACTCAGATTTCTTTTAAATTAAAATGCCATTCACATGAGATTCTAAATTTTTATATACATGAGAATAGTTTCTGCCAAAATATTATTCTTATGGAAATAAGCTAACACTTCCATTTGATTGGCACTACGTGTGTTGACAAAGCTGAGCCAATATTTTCCAATTGGGAAATGGAAAAGTTTAACTTATTAGATAACCAGAAAGGCAGATTAGAACTTTCTCTAGGCAATTTAGTCAATAGTCACAATTTATGATGCAAACCTAAGTGTCTTTAGTTTTGCCTTGTTAATTCCACATTTACAGAATACACTTTGATGATTTCCTCCCACTAGACTATTTAAAGACATGGAACAGCAAACAAAAGCGTTTCTGTTCTTATCCCCAAATCGATTAAAAACCTAAGCCTGATTAAATGGGAACATTTTCTATTCTTTGGGTTTTAAAAATCCTCTACTGAATTCTAATCCTCATTCCATCCCATTCTCCATGGCAGTCCAGGAAGCCCAAAGTTCTTGATCACTTTTGTAACAAGGAAAAGGCACAATTCTTCCTGTGATGTATAGAAATATTTCAGGAATAATTTTACATGAAAATAAAGGCAAAACAAAAACATGGAGAGCTCTACTAGTTAGAAAGGGTGGCTTTATATTTTTTTCTAATCATATATGGTTTCCTGACATCACAATGTATCTCAAGCTTCCAGTTTAAACTAATCATTAGTTCATATAATCTGATTGTCAATAAAGTGATAAAATTTACAATGATGTAACTAATTTCATATAAAAATTATTAAAAATATTGCAATGCTGGTTCTTCTTTTGAATCCCATTATCTTTTCTCCTTGTTTTTTTTATAAGATCGTTTCCTATACATACTTTTTCTGAAACTGCATGTATATAGGTATATCTGAACTACAATTTAAAATCACTTTCATTTGATAATATATAATGTTTCTAGTATTATACTATATCTTATTTTTCTCATATTTATCTTCACACATTTTGTTTTCTAATTTTACCTAATTGGTTTCATATCCTGCCCCCTTTTAAATTATAATAAGCTATCTTTAAAATTATGAATGACTCATCTAAAAATGAAAGGCTATATCATAATTGAAGCGAGGCCATGGTAAAAGATATATTTAATAGTCTTATGATATCACAATAGCAGAGATTAAATAATTTTCTTCAGTGAAGATTTTAAATTTCCAACAAATTATTTTTCATACCTTTTATTTTTATTTTATTTATTTATTGTTTTGAGATGGAGTCTCACTCTGTTGCCCAGGCTGGTGTGCAGTGGTGCAATCTCGGCTCACTGCAACCTTCGCCTCCCAGGTTCAAGCGATTCTCCTGCCTCAGTCTACGGAGTAGCTGGGATTACAGGAGCATGTCACCACGCCTGGCTAATTTTTGTATTTTTAGTAGAGAGGGGTTTCACCATGTTGGCCAGGTTGGTCTCTAATTCCTGACTTCAGGTGATCCACCCATCTCGGCCTCCCAAAGTGGTGGGATTACAGGCGTGAGCCATTATGCCCGACAATTTTTCTTATATTTTAAAATCCATTTAAACAAATGAAATATACAGTATTTTTACTCTACATATAAACAAATGGAAATTTGATTAATTATGTACCTTTTTCAGTATTTTTTAAGTGGACATTTTTAGATCATCGGTTTTTTGTTTTACTTAATGACCAAATTCAAATAATTATTTTGCTCTGAACTTCAATTAATTCTAACAAATATCCACTATGTTAATATATAACTCTGTTTTCATTTTTGTCATGTCAAATTTTTTGTCTATTCTGACCCAAATAGTCAAAATGTTCAATTGACAACAAACCTATTTTGACCAATTCTAACTAATTGAACTAATTGCTTATTTACCTCACTGAGTTTATTAATTTTGTTGTGGTTGAGATACTTCACATGTTGAATATAGATTTCCCTTCATGTTCAACATTCAGTCCCACCATAGTTACACGGGGATTCAAGGAGACTTTTGTGAGTGATGGACAGAATTCTTTATGTATGGCAAGCTATCCTGACTAGGTTCTAACAGTCCTCTCATTGTTATCCCCTGGCTTTCTTAACTTCCATCCCTCTTTGAGTAAATCTAACTGCATGCCTTTTGGTTTTTAATGCAATTGCTCCAAACTATGTGAGTCAGACTGCTTTGACTGACAAAGTTTCCCATTTGTTGCCCATTTGGCCTCAAACTATCAAAGAAAAATTGAAATACCCATAGTCATATGGATATTCTAAAAATTTTCATGAGGTGGAATCCCAAATTACTGAAATAGAGGTTAAATTTACAGCAGAACTTGTAGCATATTCATAAATGTAATTCAGGTACTACAATTCTTGTCTTTGGTCAATAGAATGTGTGTATATATCACTGCTAAGTAATGGAGAATTTTGTCTGAGGAATCAAAGTTATTATTTCTCTGATCAAATTATCTCCTAAGTTACTCTCTTCACTCCCTATCCCCAGCTGTTGAATAGGAAGGAGGGAGGAAGAACACCAAGGCGGTCCTGTACTCTGGGTGGTAGCTTGCTATTTTTTCCTGTTTTATTCTTTCCTCATTACCAAATAGATATTTGAGATTCAGACATCTAACACTAAAAATTGACTATAAGACTGAGTATTCTCCTGATGCTTGAAATCTTTGGAACATCTGTCTCCTTCACAATCTTGAATTACAATATAAAGCATGTTCTATTTACTTAGCTTTGGAGGCAGTATGTTCATCAACCTCTTCTTAATACTTGGGTTTTCCCTTATTTGCAGCAAAATGAGAGAAAACTGATCTTGTTTCAATGCTGCAGCTCATCATGTTCCCTAAGTCTGTGTGTGAGTGCGCACGTGTGCCAGCACAAGGGCACACTGCCTGAAAATGTTATCTGTGCATTCACTATAAACACGTTAAAGAACTTCAGACTATTTTTGTTTTTAATCCAAAATATTAATCAGTTTTATAATGCTAGATATCTGTAAGTCACATAAACATAGCACTTACCACTCAATCAGTGTCAGCTGTTATCATTACTAGCATAATCATAATTTTTTAATTTATTTTTTTCTTGACACATGTTTGTTGAGCACTTACTAAATGACAAACACTAAACTAGGTACTAAATGAACAAAACAGATATATGAATTATCTTTATGGAATTCAGTACTATATTGTTACTTCTTATTCAGCTATGAAATTTTCACTTTAGTCCACATCTGAAAAATAGGGATAATAATAGCTCAAAATATTTGTAAGAATGAAAAGAATGAAATGAGGTATACAAAATAAGTGTGTCTCATAGCAGTGGGCACAAAATAAATACTCAATAATTTGCACTTATATTACTATTAACAATGTTTCTATTTTGAAAATGTTGTCCAATGTGGTAGAAGACTTAATATTACAATAGGTGCTTGTCTTAAATTTAAAAATACCATACATGTATTAATTCAATTGAATAATTATATGTTATTATAACAAAGATCTTATACAAGGTAATATTTATCATTGTTACTATTTTTATTAGCTTCGTTTCTTATACATAGTGTGGAAGTTATTGCTATTCCTCATATCTCAGTTACCAGGCAAAAAACTTGTAGTTTTCTTTCACTTCTCTTTCTCCATGTACTCATATATCCAGTGAGTTACAGGTCATCCATTTTGAGCAGTTGTAATAGTATTTCTTTAAGTCTGTTACCTTCTATTATTCATTGATGTAAGCACAAGTTGGTTTCTCACTCCTAGACTATCCAATAGTCTTAATACTGTTCTTCAGCCTGGAATTTCATGTTCCATGTAGTTTTATGGCAAACTACTTTTCTAGACTATTACTCATACAACTTCATCTTTGGAACCCTCATCTCTGGCCAAATTATTATAAACATGATCTTCACCACCTTTTCTGAACATTTTAACACTCATTCTTTGTAATATTTTTCTAGACTCCTGAAATAATATCCCTTCAATATCTACCACTCAAACTGCCCTTTTCTTTTGACACGCTTCAATTTCTTCCTTGATTACAAATCTTCAGGCAAGAGTCTTAACTCATATTGCTAATAAACATCTGACCCTTTCTTTTGCTGGTTAATCATGTACAGGCATTATACTTCAAATTTATTAGTGTTCAATTTTTATGAATCAATCATATTACTATTTAGCATTTTTTTGTGTGTTTGTCTTTTTTTTTTTTCTCTGAAACAGAGTCTTGGTCTGTCATCCAGGCTGGAGTGCAATGGCGTGATCTCAGCTCACTGCAACCTCTGACTCCCAAGTTCAAGCGACTCTCCTGCCTCAGCCTCCTGAGTAGCTGGGATTACAGGAGCATGTCACCACACCCAGCAAATTTTTGTATTTTTAGTAGAGACGGGGTTTCACCATGTTGGTCAGGATAATCTCAAACTCCTGACCTCGTGATCTGCCCACCTTGGCCTCCCCAAGTGCTGGGATTACAGGTGTGAGCCACTGTGCCTGGCCTGTGTTTGTCTTAAATTCACATGTATACTGAAAATTTCTTGAGAAAGGCTCCTTTTTGAATCCCCAGGAAGAAAGATTTCAGACATTGTTATTGGTTCATATAATTTTTATCTCTATTTATTAATATATTTAATTTAAAATTCGTGTTACTACTACGTTTAGAAGTACTAATACTGATAAAATTGCATAAGCAGTGTGTGATAGTAAACCACTTACACTTCTGTAGCATTTTGTTAATATCATTTAATTCCAAAGTGTTCCCCCCTTCTAGTCAATGGTTGAAAAGTATGAATTACATCTGAATGCCAGAGTAAAGCTGACAGTGTAACCATAACAAAATAGAACTTTTGATTCAAACATGATAGGACAGTTATGTCAAAATGAGCCCAAAAGTAAGTGTTTAAAAGAAATATTTTCATGAAAGCTTTCCTTGGGGGAGATCAGTGACCTATCTTTTCAAAGATGCTGCTTTGGATGACAATCCATATTTGTGTTTGTGTATACAGGTGAAAAACTAAAACACGATCAGCAGTTTTTCTACATGATGAATGTAGGAAGCCAGCTACCAAGTAACTGCTGCCCATGGCCTTATGCATCAATCTATTACTTGCCAGGATGTATTGTGTAGAAACAACATCATGTATTTAAAGCCTGTACTCTATATCCAGCCTAAATTTTCATATTAAGATAATCTGAAAACTGTCCTCTAACTAATATTTTATTCTTTTTTTGACAGCTCAGCAGCGGACACCAATGAGCAATTTGTATTATTTTCTGGTCAATTTATTAAGTAATTATTGGTAATGAAATTTATGGTATTTTTATCTTATGGCTTATTTGATCTCCTCTTAAAGTTCACATGTAAATTGCCCCATTAATTTAATGTTCAATGTCATATTATTTGACATTAAATCTACTTACAATAAATGTAGCCACCCAACCTAATTAGGCAAAATGCATATTATAAAGTAAAAAATAAGTTTTAGAATTTAACTAGAACTGTGACATTCTCTGTATATTCATATGGAGACATTTATTTTACAAAAATAATATATAATAAGACATGCTTTGATTTGTATCATAATAATTTCTAATATACACACAACCATATAAGATAGAACTAATATATAAAGTATATAACATATATAATATTTATGTAATATATGCATGTATATGCATATATCTGTAATCAAATCATTACCAAAATGACTTTTACATTTTGAAAACTGGTGAAGACTAAAGATTATACAGCCAATGTTGTTTCTGCCATGAATATGATGCACAAATAAATGATATGCCTGCTGGAGTTCATATTGTACCATGAAAGGGATTTAGAATAATAAAATATATACAAAGCAAGGCTAAACTTTCAATTTAAAAATGTTGATGATTTATAAGAGAAATCTAACACTAGATTACTCTCAGAAGTATAGCAAAATATAAATTGTAGAAACAACACTTTTACATTTACTAAGGACATTTAATTGAATTAATAGCACACATTAGCTACCATTATCTAAAACTTCAGAAAGTGGATTTAAAAATACAATTCTCTAGAAAACCCTATACCTCTCTGAATCTAAAATATTACAGTTGTAATGGTTTTTGTTTATTTTTATTATTCATTGTTGATTTATTCAATTATTACAGAAACCCCAAAACCACACAGGTATGAAGTAACTTTTTGGGACAGGATGTGTCCTAGATGTTGGTAATCATTAAAACAGTAAATTTACACACATGGTCCCTTGTAAAACTTATCTTCTAGTACAAATATCATACAGGGAAATTTTCATTTGGAACTTTCTATCAAAAAGACATATGCACTTTTATTCTCATCACAGCACCATTCACAATAGCAAAGACATGGAATCAACCAAGATACCCACCAATGGTGGACTGAAAAGAGAAAATGTGGTATGTATACACCATGGAATACTGCATAGCCATGAAAAATAATAAAGTCATGTTCTTTGCAACACCATGGATGTAGCTGGAGGCCATTATCCTAAGTGAACTAACGCAGGAACAGAAAATCAAATACTTCATGTTCTCACTTATAAGTGGGAGCTAAATATTGAATACACATGGACATAAAAATGGGAACAAAACAATAGACACTAGGACTGCTTGAGGGGGGAAGGTGGGAGGGGGGCATGGGTTGGAGGTTACCTATGGAGTACTATGCTTACTATATTGGTGACAGAATCATTTGTACACCAAGCCTCAGCAACACGCAGTTTACCCATGTAACAAACCTGCACATGTAGCCCCGAACCAAAAATAAAAGTAGAAAGAAAAGAAGAGAATGAAGTGAAAATTGTGGGATGAAAGAGAATGAAAATGTTATTACAAGCAGAAATTCAAAGTTTGCTATTTTGGTGGCTGCCTCGTTCACACATGAATATCATCTCTATACAAATTCTGCTGAATAAAACAGTCCTTTCTTGTGCATTTGTGTAAGAAAATCTTTAGACTAAACTTGTTTTAAGTTATTGCACATGTCAAAGTGCTAATAAATTAGCAGCTGCATCTATCTCTGTAATCCAGTAGTAATAAACAAGATGCTTTAAATCTCTTTCTAGGAGTAATCTACATAGTACACAGTAAGTTAACCCACTAACATCTTAACAGGTTGCACTGTTCCAAGTCAATATAATAAAAAGAGAAAAGCAAGAAAGAGGCCCAATGCCCTGTTTATGCCAATTATCAGTAATTAGTAAGCATTTATTTGAATTTAAGACATAGTTTTAAATATATTAAACATTCCTTATATGCATTTAAATTTTATGCTAAATGCTAAGCAGGATTAGGACATTGTCATTCAGAAGAACAAAAGGAGAAAAGACAAAGGATAATGAAGAGAAGATGAAGAAATGAAAAAATTAAAAATTAACAGTTGTCATTCAATTTATAAAATTTATCTATGAGTCACATTTTTGTTCTTACATTCATTTAGTGAGGAATAGCAGCTAATTTCAATTAAATAAACTTCTCTTTGGATCTATCAAAAAGTAATTAAAGCAAAGCATAACAAATTCTAGGGTAGAAGCTTGTATAGTTACAAATTTAGTTTTATTTGTAACATTTGTAATGCTATGTAGAGAGTCAAACAGAAAATCTAAATTATCCTCATTGCATAGAAGTAACAAATAAAAGCAAATACAGAGATATATTCTCTAGATAGGGAAATTTTAAGGAAAATGACTTAAAAATATCTTCTTCTTAATAACATATAATTTCTATTTGATTCAGTTTATCAAAAATGTTTTAAGCATCCTACAGAGAACTGAGATAGGCATAATAACAAGACATTCCACTTTTTATGGGTTCATTCCTTCAAAATTGTATTTGAGATTTTTCCACATTTATGTATAGAGTGGTTCAACTCCAATCTTACATGCACAAAGCATAAGACTCCCAACCATAGCTGTATGGCATAAAATTAATTTGTAGAATTTTCCCATAACATACTAAATAGTATAAAAAACAAAAATCTAAAAAAAAAATTGAGCAAACACAGTCTAATATGGAACAAGGTGTAGAGAGAATAGGATGAAAAGGTATTGTAAGAAATGAGAAGTTAAGTACAAGGGAAAAAGAAAACAAAATAAAGTAAATCAAAATTCAAAAATGCCAACAAGAATTTTGTATGACCACATTATGTGTGGTTGCTTTGTACTAATGGATGGCAATATTATGGTAAAAGAAACTGCTTGTAGGAAGGAAAGAGTCCCTCTAAAGGGGCAGATGAGTCAAAAATGCAATGTTTAAGAAGATAGTAAACCATCTATGAAATGTAATTCTAAAAGTTCAAAAATAACCTTTGTTTTTATGTACTCAAACATAAGTGCATTTCTTTAGGAAATGAAATTTTCTCTTATCTAGAAGTGCAGGTGGCATATAGCATTTGCTCTTCTATTTCAGCTTTTTTTCACACACATGGACGTGAACACAAGAACAGTATTTAAATGTGGTAGCATAGTTTTCTGTATCTCCGTCTTCAAATATTTTGGAGGAAATGTTAATTTTTACTTTAAAAGTTTTGCTATTGCAGGAATTTGAAGCCAACAAGACATTTAATTTTTGTCTTCTCAAATGCATGAGTGAGTTTTTAAAGTATCTGGCCTACATGACCCGAATTTAATCCAATTTTTTTATATTAAAGGAAAAAAAAGAACGTTATTATATTATTTACCTTTAAGTCTTAAAATTATGGGAAAATATATTGATGATCAATTATTCTAAATTAGTTAAGCAGACAAAAAATATTTGAGAAATTTGAAAGTTCTTTATGAGAGTGAAAATCTGTAAAAAAAATAGTAATCAGTAAATGGCAAAGTTCTTTTTTCAGCTATAGTTTTCAAAAAGCTAAAATGATCATGACTGCCATACAAATATAAAAAGAACATGCGTCAAAAGTTTTATTTAATGTACTAACTAATAAAATAACTAGTAACTTGTAAAAAAACCAAAGAGCATTTGAAAGGGTAGGTATTTATAGGCAATGTTAGAAAAACAAACATGATTCAAGTTCAACAGTGACACTGATCTTTGCAATCTTTGAGGTTTTTTTCCTATTACACAGAAATTACTTGCATTTTCATGTTAAAAAGTCTACAAGTTAACTTCTTTTCCTTGTTCAATGGATATAATATTTTAGTTGTGCAAGATGAATAAATTCTAGTGATCTAGACAACATAGGGCCTATATTTAATGGTACTCTACTGTGCACTTAACAATTGTATTAAGGGCTAATCTCATGTAGTCTTAAGATATTTGAAAAAGAAAATAAAATGAAATTTAAACTAAGCATATATTCAAAAAAATCCAGTAATTTTGTTTGTCTGCTTCTAAGTTTAGGGCAATTTTTTTGATGCTATAAAATGTAAGTGTAATGAAAAACTCTTTAAAGGTTGATGATGATGAAGCCCAAACAGGTACACTTTGTGAAAGCTGGTCAGGAGATTCTGATACCCGCTTAGAGTTAAGAGCCACAATAAAGCCGAAAATTGTTGTTTTACCCATGGGGAAAAAAAAGTTTAAAGTGTTAGTCTTTTCTTATTATTTACAAGGCTATTTAAATGTTCAATTGAGAGGTCTCAAAAGGAATCATATTTTTCAAGGTTTTTTTTTTAATTCCCCATAATTCCTTGAAATAGCAAGAACAACTGCCTCTACTGCTCCACATACTATTATTTTATTTTCTTCCCTTGGTAAGGTAATTATGTGAGAGGTCATGGAAAATTTTCGTGATGTATTTATACAGTCCATTAAAAATTTAAAGTTTGAATCAGGTTTCATTACTTTCTGTGATGACTGAGAAGAGATTTCCTCAATGTGAAATTATAAAACCTTATTAGGTGAGATATAAAAATGATCAATTTTAGTTAGCATAGTGTTTGTTGGTCCAGCATCCATTGACTCCCTTTTGTTGTAGCACATTCTGATTTTCCTTAGAGAAACCATCCTTCCTCCTTTCTGAGTATATGTGTTTTGCATGGAGCTATTCCCAACCACTCTCTGGCTCCAGGGGTAGCCCTAAGGCCTGTACCAGCCAATCTGAGTCACTACAATTGGTTCAGGAGTAGTCACTTGACACATATCAACCCACTGAGAGTCATTGCAGTAATTATGAAAGAGGCAATTGCTGATGTTGCTCACTGTATAATAACATAGTTGCTCTGGCCATCTTTGCCACCACAGGCTGCCTAGGAAAGATACCCATACACAGTAAGTCAGACCCCACAGGAAAAAGTGCCACCTCACTGATGAGGGCATTTCAGCACTCAGATTTATCTGTTCTTGAACCCAGATCTATTCTTGGACTTTGAATTCAATGAACCAATACATCTACTCAGTTTTTTATTTTTTCCTCTGAAGCAGGCACTTGGATTTGTTTTCTCTCACTTAAATAAATAGTCATATGCTTCCAAAACTGCCATGGAAACAATTGAACATATAAGATCAAAACCCAAGCCAAATTCCAGAGCAGGATATTTAGACTTAAGGGCTTAGAGATCATAGTGTTGAAGATTTGAGAAAATAAGATAGGATATTGATGAGTACTGGATGCCTATGGCATACTTACTCAAAACTCATTCGGTTGAAAATTACAGAAATCAATGCAATCTGGTTAAGAAAGGCTTTTTTTTAAAATAGGCAGTTTACCATAAGATTACTGAAATATATGGGAGAAACTGGTCATGTCACTCGGGATCAGGAACCGAGGCAGTACTCTCATTCCTACTTTCCCTGTCTGCACCTCTGCACCTTCCCTACTTCGTATAGTTGAACAAGTTGAAAAGTAGAGTTTGCTAAAAAAAAAAAAAAAATTCTACTAAGCAAAAAGTAATCAAACTTGGAGTTATTTATCCAGGAAAGAGCAATGTGCCTGGAAAATGATTAGGGTGACCAAAAATATTAATTTTTTTTACAACCCTTGACACATTCCCCAGGTCACATCTTGTCAATTCCTGAGCAAGTAGACATTGTCCTTGTCTCCGGATCCTAATCCCCAATTCATGGAAGAGAGAATCCTATTGAATCACCTAGGTATGGTTTGGCTGCCAGAATCTCACTCCAGTTAATAAGACAAATAGGGTGGAGGGGAGGGACAGGGGGAGATGGCAGTTGTCAGAGAAAAGGTGTCATTGAGAGTTGGGAAGATATCCAAAAAGTGTTCAATATACATTTTATGGTCTCAAACTGGTTTGAGCATTTTTCCATTTCCTACAATTGACAAGGCTGGCACATTTTGCTACACTAAAGACCATTATAATGAAACTCTACATTGAATAACTGTCAAATGGCAAAACAAATTTTAGTGAGTATTGTTTATGATTTTTCTCTTTCCTTATTGTTTTTCTTTTATATTTTTTGTTCCTTTTAGCCACAGATGCTGAAACTTGAGTTAATAATTTTCCTCACTTACTGTCACTTGGCCATGCAAGTCTCTCTTTCATATTTATTATTTGCCCCCTTTCTCTCTTCTTTTTCCCATCCTTGTCCTCCTCCCATTAACCATAAAGCCAATAATTCTAATTTATTTGTCTTAAATCCTTTGAATTATCTGTATTATTGCACAAATGTAAGGTACATAGAATTGTTTTTCATGCATGTATTTCTGTTTGAGTAAATTTTATTGTGCTATAGACTTTTATCTATTTATTTCTGTCTTTTTTCTACTCAGTGCTGCTTTTATGGCATTCATTTTTCTGTTTGTCTCACCAGCCACTTACTTCTCTTCCTTACATAGTGATCCCCTGAAATGTACATATATTGCATACAATTGCCTACTACCGCAAAGCTGTGACGAAGTCTTCTTGAATGTCCTGTCATGTTATCTGAGGAAACCTCTGGGATATTTTCCAAGAAGTGAAATTGCATAACCATTCAACTGCATAGCCACAGGAATTTCAAACACTTAATGTGGACTTTATACATTTAATATAACTGAGAGTTGCCAGATAGCTCTACAATGCCTCCTTTATTCCAGAGTCTCATTCACTAGGGTTTCTACATGTCTAATAACACTTATGTTTACTCCTTATTCAATTATTAGCCATTATATTGGGGTAAGTGGTATTTTTTCCTTTAATCTAGCGCATCTCCTAAGGTACTTCCTAGCTATTTGTTTTTCCAGTCTATGAATTATTTGTCAAATAATATGCCCATCGTTAGTGATTTCCTGTCTTATTTTATTGATTTGCAGGAGATCTTTGTATCTGGTCACTGTATCTAGTGCCTCTTCTGTGAAATACAAACTACTAACTTTGTTATAATGAAATCCACCTATTTTTCTTCTTGTGGTTTGTGCTGCTTGCATCTGGTTTAAGCATATTTTTCTTATGACATAGTCATAAATATACAACCTATACAACTATGGGCTTTCTATTACTTTCCTTATTTATATCTTTCTTGGCTATTTTCTACTTTGATATATATTTCAAAAAACACTTTTTAAGCATTGAACACCTTTTAAGCATTTAAAATGTTGGCATCAGTGCCAACGTTTTAAATGAATAATTAATAAAAGGATAAATTTAAGCATTCATTGATGTGGTCCACTAAATACAATTTTTAGACCTGAAATTCTACTCTTTTTTTGTGGAAGTAATACATTTTAAGAAAATTTTAAAGCAATTTGTTGTCTACCCAGTCATGAGGCTTGTTTCTGGTAAGTAAGAAGGATGATAATGACTACAGAAAAGTAATTCAAGCAAATAATTAAGGCGCCACTGCAGATTCAAAAAACGTTTGATCCTGGTCTCAGCCACTTATTTCAGTTAGATGTACCTTTAAGTGATGCTTGCTATGAATGTTTTCTTATTGCTATGAGATCACGAATCTATAGTTACCTCTGCCTTACCTGAGGAAAATATTCCATAGCTCTAAATTGACCTCTATTATTTTGCTAATTATTTCAAACTTTAGTTCCTAGATTGACTGATTAGTAAACTTTATACTGTTTTAGTAGAGACTATCAAGCCATATCTTATCAAAATTAAATGTGATTAACACAAGCACATTCTCCTAAGTGAAATTTTACTTTTTATTTTGCTTTACTTAGTAGAAAGATTTTTATGGGGTTCTGATGGATTTTGCCATTGAGAAAGATTTTCTGCCAAACAGATGGTTCCCACTTAACAATTAGATTTGCCTCCAGAATGCAAATGAATGGCTAAGGGAAGAGGAAACGGAAAGTGCTGAGGGAAAAAAGGGAGTTTGTTCTGGTGGCTGATCACATTACCATGTGTGTTCACTGCTTATAACTCCTCTCCCTCTAAGCACCATTTCCCAGCACACTCATTTCAAAGATGACAGTTCATTGCACACTATCAGCTACTGTGTGGAGCACTTTGCACTTATTATCTTATGGAATTTAATAGTCACACGAACCCTCCAGTTTATGTGTTCTCATTTTATAGAAAGGGTATTGGGATACAGGGAAGTTATATCCAAGGATACATAGCAGGTGCTGGAGTAGGGATTCAAACCTAGGTCCCTCCGACTCCAAATCTACTCTCTTAACTTCAGTGTTATACTTTCTCTCCATTTGCTAAACTTTCCCTGAGTTTTATTCCAGAAAGTATCCCTCTTTTAAAACAACTAATTAAATTTTATTGTACCTTGTCTACCTTGTATGGTGTATAGCACAGTTCAATAATTTTCCTTGAACATCTTTCAAAGTGTCTGCTTGTAGTTTTTACATAGTAGTAAATCTGTGCTTACTACTATGTTTTTGATAAGGTTAAATTTTTTGCTGATATGTCTCTCGAAAATGCCTATATTTTTCCATTTATTTAGGTGATTTGTCTGTGTGTTTATTTTTTTTCACTTGCAAGTGGAAATTGTCATACTGGTTAATTTTCAGATTAAAGTGGTTTCAGATTAAAGTGGTTTCAGAAATGTGAATAAATTTACCAGTTAAACAAGGATGTATATTTTCTGAAAGACTGTTCAATCTCTCATATAATTATGTTATAGTACAAAAGTATTTTATTCACATTGTGCTAACAGGAGAAAGCCACTTTTCGTATGGTGCTCCTAATATCTAACCTATATTTTGCTTTCTTTAGCTTCCAGTCTTTGCTCTTTGTCCTCGTGTCTTCTGAGACTATGAATAATTCCCTTCTTTCATTATGTTGTTACCCAGGAGGTATTATTTATAGGTTGTGAACATGGCTCACTTCACTCTGCTCTTTTCTGGAATACATAAGTTAATTTTGTATTTCTGTTTCACTTATCTTTCTCCATTTTTTGAACCCTTTCTGTTCTCTTTTGGGTTTTCACAAATTATCCTCAATACTTCTTAAACTTTGCAGAACAGAAATATACAGAAGATCAAAGGAGCAGTTTCAGCCTGATTCAACTGGGCAATTACCCTTTTTTTCCAGTGTTACATCACTAGCTGAGATATGCAGATTGAATTTAACTGTTTCTGGCATTAGCCACCACTGGGTAAATAAGCTTATTCTGCAAATGTAGCCAGTCATTATATGGCCATTTTAATACTCTCAGGTCTAAGTTTCTACTAGAATCTGATTTACTAAATTATTATCTTTGTGGCGATAAGTTCTAAAATTTTCAGTTTGGTTAGAAATTATAAGCTCAAAATAGAATTAGTACTTTTGATCACCCTAATTATATTCCAAGCATAATGCTATTTATTAGGAGTTTTAAAACTCCAATTTTTTGTTAAGTTTTGCTTAGTAGAACTTCCTAACAAATTGTATTTTAAACTTGTTCAACTATATCATTTGCTTTTGGAATTTAGAAATTTGTTCATTTATAGAAAGCCATCATTTACTTGGTAACACTGACTAACAGACAGCATATTCCAAACTATAAGAACCAAAAAATATATATTAGGAACCAAGATCAGTCTGGAAAACCTATTTGTGTGAAGTTTACAGAGATTCAGGGGAAAGAGTTCAATTATTGTTCTGTTCTAGGGTAGGTCAAACACCCTATATCTGAAAATACATGGAGATTTTTTTTTTAAATCAAATGCATTATGAAAAACAGGCCAAAAGAACAGCTGGTATTTTGGAAGGGTGAAAAGAGGGCAGGAGAGGGAAAGTTTGACAGCTAGTGTACAAAGTTCTCAGCTTCTAATCACAAGGGGAGATTAGTTTTAAGTGACTTTTCTTTTACTTTTCCACTAATATTGAACTTTATTTAGTAAACTATTCTGCTTCTTAACCCAATTCATATCTGGTACTTCTGTTTTTTTTTTGTTTTTTTTTTTTTTTTCATGAAGGTGAGCAATAGGAATAGAAGTGCTGACCTAGAAATGTGGGACAGTGTGCTCATTTCCCTTTTAGCAAAGGTTTTCTGATAATGATAAATGCTACACTTAAGAAATTGGAACACTGAAATTCTCCATCTAGCCACAACCTTTGACTCTTTCCCCTCTCTTAATTCTTTACTCCCAATAAACCTACTGTTTCACCTCACTGAACCTCTGGTCACTCAACCCCTCTTTGTTCTCTAACTTCATCAGTCCCTCCTGGCAGACCTCCCCTCGTTACTCACACTGGACCCCATCATCCATCATCTCAAATATACTGTTAGTAGCACCTTCTCATTCATCACCCCGTTGACTATCCGCCTCACCTGTCTCACCAGTCTCCAACCTGAAAATCCATTTTCTCTGCATTTGCTCTTACTTTGCCAATTGCTATGAAGGAAAATCCCATAACTGAGCTTATCGTCTCCAACACAAGTTTAATTTTTAACCTCTGCTGGCCCCTCAATTCTGTTTGGCAATCCTTTTACTTAATACTAATCAACAACCTTTTTAATTTCTCTTAGTGTCTATTCCAAATCTTGCCCATATTCCTCAAGCCCTGTGCCCCCACCCTGCCCACTTCTTTTTGGCAGGCTGAGAGCTCACTACTTTACCAGGAAGTTACAAGCCAATCTGTATGAACTCTCCAAACTTTCATCTTTCTGCCTTCAGAATTATATCTGTATTTCACCTGCTCATGCTTCTTTCCCTCATGTGTCAGAGAAGAAATACCCTGATACATTTCTGAAGCTAACTAGTCTACTTGGCTTTTGCTTCTAGCTGCTTTTGTCTATACCCCGACTTGGCTTGTTAATTATATTTTGTCATTTGCAAGTATAATTTCTTTCTCTACATAGGTTCCTTTCTTTCATGAATAAATACACCCAACTTTCAACCACTCCTAATATTAAAATAAAACCTGTCTTAGCATTTTCTATTTGCCAACTTTTAATTCAACGTAAGTATTGAGTATCTCCCAATTGCAGGCATTGTTATAGCCTATGAAGATGTACCAATAAATGAGACCCAAGCTCCAGCCCTCATGTAGCTACCAGATTTCTCAAAAGAGTAGTCTCTACTTACTTCATCACACTTCTTAAACACTGTAATTGGTCACCTACCTACCATTCTATAGAAGAACACTGCTTTTATTTACAAGTCTGAGACAAATGTTTTGCATCCTCATGATTATAAAATAGTCTCTATAAACTTTATATAATTAATCAAGGAAGAAGGGTGTGAGAGAAACAAAAATAAAGCTTGTAGCACATTCCACACTGATCATTAGGTCAGCTTGCTCTCTACCTGCTTCCTCATTGTTGCTTGGTGCCTATTGTACTAAAATCACATAGACCCTAGATTAGTTTCCCTTAACCGCTCTATAGATAACAATGTGAACATTATGAAACATTAAGTTTTCTCTTTGATATATTCTTTCCAATGAAACTACTGATGTCAACTGGTCTGATGAACCTCACAAGAAGCTGACCCACCAAAGAATGTTGTTTCCGGATGATTTCATCTCTCTTACTCCAGTGAATCCATGACCCCAATTTTCTAGTCCCTTGCCTTCCATGATCCCCTTATAAACTCCACCCCTGAACTCCAGGAGATGGATTTAAGAATCTCCCCTCATCTCCTTGCTTGGCACCCTGTGACCATTAAACTCCTTCTCTCTTGCAAACCCTGCTGTCTCTGTGTATTTGTCTCTTACTGCACATGAACCTATTGGTCCTGTAACAATTATATGCTTTGTTGATTCAGTGGCCTTGGACCATGAGGAAAGAATGCTATATTGGTTTCCTAAGATTACCATAACAAAGTGCTAGAAATTGGGGGACTTAAAGCAACAAAAATTTGTTTTCTCACAGGACTGGACAGTAGAAATCCGAATGAAGGAGTCAGGAGGTTCATGCTCTCTCTAACTCTTCTAGGTGGGAATTCTCATTTTTGCATCTTCTACCTTCTGATGTTCTCTGGTGATCCCTGATGTTCTTTTGACTTGTAGATGCATCATTGTAGTCACATGATAATCTTGTCCCTGTGTGATTTCACATTGACTTTTCTCTGTGTCAAAATTTCACCTTTTTAGGCTGGGCTCAGTGGCTCACACCTGTAATCCCAGCACTTTGGGAGGCCAAGACAATCAGATCCCTTGAGGTCAGGAGCTCAAGACCACCCTGGCCAACATGGCAAAACTTCTTCTGTACTAAAAATACAAAAGTTAGCTGGGCATGTGGTGGATGCCTGTAATTCCAGCTTCTTGGGTGGCTGAGGCAGGCGAATCACTTGAACCCAGGAGGTGGAGGTTGCAGTGAGCTGAGATCGTGTCACAGCACTCCAGCCTGGGTGACAAAGTGAGATTCTGTCTCTAAAAAAAATAATAATAAAATAATAAAATGAAATAATAAATTTCACCTTTTTAAAAAGACAGAGATCATATTGGAGTTGGACTCATTCTAACCGCATAATTTTAACTTGATTACCTCTGAAAAGACTCTATTTACAAATAAGATTACATTTGGAGGTACTTGGGGTTTGAACTCTAAATATATCTTTCTTGGGAGATGTTAGTCAACTCATAAGACATGCTTTACTCAACAGTGAAGCCCCTGCTGTGTCTGAATGAACAGGAAATTCAGATGTTTGGTCTGATGAGTGGAATGATTAATCCTGATTATTAAGGTATGTATTGCATGAGGTGTGCCCTAAAACCTGCCTGGCGTATTAATAAAAGTAAATAGAAAAGTGCAGGCAGGACTCATAGGGTTATCACACACCTAAAGAGAGAAGTTTTGGGTCACAATAAAGGTATTCTTCATTTAGGATATTAGCTGAGCACCAAAGTAACTTGAGATTACTTCAGTCCGTAATGGAGGATAAACAGATTAGATTGGAGACCAATCTGATTAGCTCAAAATCTAATTTCTAAGATTCTCTTGCAGGTAGAGCTTTATTGGTACCTCCCTTCTATCCGTAAGATTTATTCACACATCAGGCTTGGGGAAGGAAGAAAGCATCTGTAAGTGGTGGCCATGTGGAAGAAATCAAATTTACCAAGCAAGGGGCAAAAGCAACTAACTGGTTCTTCTGAGACATCTGCAGGGAAGTGCCTGGGTGTTGGTGCCTAGTGTTAGAGATGCCAAGCAACAGTTGGAAGCAGCAGTCCTTTGTTTTGTTGGAAATTGCTTTTCCTGAATGCATCATAACTTGTTGCTTTGTTCTTGGCACTGATACAACCACACCCAGGTCTCTGGATCTCCTGGAGATTCCACAAGCTTCCTACATTCTGATAAAAAATAAATAAATAAATAAATAAATAAATAAATAAATAAAAATTCTGGTGCTTCCAGCAAGTACTGCTACTGATAAAATGTATTGGGAACTCTTCTACGTTTTTACTCAGTATCATATTTGGATCTTGAATATATAGTAGCACCTCTCCCTCCCAGTTGTGGCAATCTAAAATAAAATGTCTCCAGACATTACCAAGCGTCCCCTGTGGAATAAAATTGCCCCAGGCATAAACCACTGTTCTAGTGGAATAATTACAGCTAGAATTATTGAGAACCAAGTGCCTGGTAATTATCTAAGCATTTCACATGTAATAACGCATTTAATCTTCAAAACAGCCGTTTGGAGAAAATACAATTTTCCCCATTTTACATACAAGAATTCATGCACGGAGAATTTAATTCACTTTCACAAGTAATAGAAGTAGGAGTATATCTAGAAATATATCTAATCTAGAGTAGATGCTCTTATTTACCACTATATCCCCCCCAATGCTGTAATGTGTTGGTATTCATGATTGTCTATAAGTCTTAAAGCTCTTGCTGATCTTGAGATGGAGGATCACCATTTGATTCTGAAATGAAACTTAAAATAATTTATTTTGCCTTTATACTATATAATTTGACAATCTAACAGTAAGATTTCATCTTACTTTTCAGAGCATCCTCTATTTTGCCTCTAGGTGTTTATCTAAAACATAATTCTTATCTTGCAACTCTCCCAAATTCTCTTAATGTTTTCCTTCAACTACAGACAAAGTCTCCATTCTTTAGCATTTTGTAAATGGAATTTTACAATAACTTATATATCCAAGCCAATATTCTGCTACTTTTGTGTCATGAGCATAGGCTAAGCACCAGCCATACAAAATTTCCCACTATTTTGGAGAATACCCCAAGCTGTGCCAATATATAAGTAATTCTCTCTGTCTAGAATATCTTCTTTTGTCTTCTGTTCCTGGAGATATATTCATCCTACAGGCTTTGCTCTAATGCTATCTACTTGTTAAGACCTATGCATCTCCATTACTTAGCTGCAAAATTAATCTCCTGGTTTCCATGGCATGTTTATATACCTCTGTAAGATTATTTGTTATATTAAACTGTAAATATTGGACTTTACATATTTCTTTCCACCTGGACATTATGAGCTAATTGAGGGCTACACTCTACCTTATTCTATGTGCTCCCATCACTGGGCATGGTGCATGACCCATAGCAGGTAAAAAAAAATTAGATTAATAAATGAAGTCCCCACAAGTTCTGTATAGCCATAACAGTGCAAATGGAAGTAGTCCTTATGACTCCAGCTTTTAGGATGTGTTCAAAGGGATGATGGACCCCTCACAACTTGTCTGTCTCTCATACCTGCCTTTTTGCCCCTGAACACTTAAAAAGCTTCAGGATTTCCTGTGTTTTACCTGCCCATTGATAGGGTTTCACCCAGGTTCCAAGCTAGCTTGATAATGTAATCAACAGGTGTTAGGGTTTTTCCAATTTAATAGCTTGAAGTAATGAATTACGTAAAATTCTAAATGCATTTATCTATCCAAATCTATGAAATGATACCTCTACTATTAAAATTATTTGGATTATGTGTATATGATCATTCATTTGAAGTCTAGCGTACTTATATAAATTAATGCTCTCTTAAAATTACATATGAAAACATTAGTTTGCTACTATGTCATTAAAACAAACAGAATTGATGATGCTTTGTGAGAAAAAAAAATGTCCTGGACTAGAAATTTGAAGACTGACTCCTAGTGCCAGCTGCCTTGGAAACTACTTGTGAGAGGCACCTTGAGAATGACACAAAGTTTATCTGACTCTTTATGTCCTTATATAAAAATTAGAAATAGTTGTCCTGGTCACTAAACATCGTGGTTAAGAGACTAAATTATTTATGAAACATGAAAGTGCTTAAAAGTGCAAACAATACAAATACGAGGTATTTTTATTAAAAGCATTTATTTCAAAAAACATAACTTCTTACACTCATGCCAATGTTTGTGGCTTATTATCTTTGGTGCCAATTGCTAAAACAATCACTGATGTGTGATAAAGTGTTTATATATTATCAGTGATGTCACCTTAAAAGGGTGACATTGAGGTTTAAAGAAACCACCACATACATTACTCAAGGGAGGAACTGCTAATTAGCTAAGCTAAAGAGGGATTTCTTTCAACTTTGATTTTAGAAGTGCATTTTAGTAATCATTTCCATTTCAAAGTTACCAACTTTCCTTTGCAGTGCTTTTTTTTTTTTTTGGTGATTACAAAATTTAAAATATAATTGGGTTGTGTTAAAATACTTGCTCTGTCTTCCTTTTCCCACTGTGCATGACAATTTCATTGTGCTTTGCTTTTGTTTTTGCTCAATTATCTAATAAAACAAAAATGAAAAGAAGTGATCGTTATCACCTACACATCTGAAGGTGCTTTTAGAAGATTGGACTGGTTCTTGCAAAAAGAATGGGTGAGCTGTGGCCCTGAAGCGTTTCCAAGGGCGGGGGTAGATTTTGGAAGTTATGCATCATTCATTCATTCACTCACTCATTCAACGTGTATTTATTGTGAATGTTCTAAATATATCACTGCTCCTTTATATAAGGAATTAAAAAACATTATCAACATTTTTTATATTAAATTTCAGGAAGTCAATATTATGTGTAATTTTCCAAGTAATCTTGCATTAAGCTCCCTTCCCATTAACTCTGGATTTTTGAAGATTAAAAAAATCTTAAAAGATTAAAAAGTTTTCATATGAAAATCCTTATATATATGGAATTTATTAATAAAACTCTGCTTCATACGGATAACTCCCCTGTTCAAATAGTTCACATGAGTGTATTAAAGATACTGAAATTATTCACTGTTTCCTCCAATTTTTTTTAAAGATGCTACATATTTGTATCCTCATTATTAAGAACTCATTTCTTTACACACTTCCCAGGAGCACACAGGAATTTAAACCATGCTCTGGGGATAGGGCCATTGCAGCCCAATATGGAAGCTAGTCCATAGGTGGCCCTGGCCTCCTGCCACTCTCATTCCCAAAAGCTCTATGTTGCATGGGCAAATCCCAGGGTGCCAAGGATTGTAGGTACAAAACAAAACAAGACAGACATCAGTGGTCATTTCTGAGTAATATTTCTGCCATATTCTATTATTGGCTTCTGTTTGTCTACTCATTCAAAATAAGATATTTGTTCAATTTCTAGAAACCTATCTTGTACTCTGTGTATCTTTTTATAAAGTGATTTTTATAAATATTTAGAGTGATCAGTTAGACATAGCAGTTTATAATTTATCACAAAGGATGTGCTTCCTTCTTACATGATGCTATTCAGAAGAATCAATTTAAAATTTTTAATAAAAATAATGAACAAACTATAAGTGCACAGCTTTGTGAATTTTCAGAAAGTGATCACACCAGAATAGCCATCCCCCAGAGGAGTTATCAGTCCCATTAAATGCACCCAGTGCCCCATCCATTCCAGACACTATTTGATCTCTTCTCCCCAAATATGATGTTTCCTCCTCCCATAAATTGCATTTACCTGGCTTTGTACTTTGTTAATGGAATCACACTGTATATTTTACTATGTGTGATTTATTTGCTCAACTTTATAATTATGTTTGATCCAAGGTATTGCAAATAGCAGTAGTTCATTCATTTCCATTGCTATAGGCAGCATTCCATTGTAAGAATATTTGACCATTATTTTTATCCATTTGGTTTGTTTTCAAATGTTTGCTATTATGCACAATGCTGCTATAAACATCTTTGTACTCATGTGTTAGTACGTATTTGTACAAATATCTGTGGTAGAATACACTTAAGTATGAAATGCTGGGTAATTGGGTATCATATGTTCAGCTTTAGAAGACGCTGAGAGTTTCCCAAAGTAATTGTACAAATAGGCTCCCCACCAGCAATTTAAAAAATTTTCGGCTGTTCCAGAGAACTTCTGTTTGCTCCACTTGTTATTGTATATATATTAGCAATTCTTTTGGTTGTGTAGTCATATCACATTGTTGTTTTAATTTGCATTTTCTAAATGAATTATTAGGCTAAGAATGTCAATATATTTTTATGTCTTTTGAAGTATTTGAAAATCTTTTTTTTGAAAAGTGCCTATTCAAATAGTTTCCTCATGTTTTCTATTAGATTATATGAATCTGTCATATTTTATTGATTTGTACATCTTCCTTATATATCAGTAGTTCTCAATTGTGATTGATTTTATCCCCCAGACCACATTTGTCAATGTCTAAACATAATTTTGTTTGTCAGGACTGGAAGGGTGCTATGAGCATCCAACGAGCAGGGGCCAGGGATGCTGGGATCCTAAACACACAAGGTAGCCTACAAACTACAAAGAACATCTGGTTCAAAATGTCCATAGTGCCAAGGTGGAGAAACTCTGAAATTCGTGTGTGTGTATAATTAAAATATAACATATATTGTATTATATTTAGCAAAATATATCAAATCTTCCACTTAGGGATTTACTTTTCACTTTTAATTGTTTGTTTATTGGATAGAAGTTCTTAAATTTAAAGTAATATTTTGTTGTTAATAGTTAATATTCTCAGTGTTTATTGAAAAGATCTTTGCCTTCTACAAGATCATGAAGATACTGTTCTTCGTATCTCCTAGTGTTGCACTGTCTAATACAGTAGCAACTAGTCACATGTGCTAATTTTTAAGCACTTGAAATAAGGCTATTCAAAACTGAGAAGTGATGTAAGTGGAAAATATACACCAGATTTCAAAGAATTGGTTTGAAAACAAGAATGTAACATATTTCATTATTTTTTATATTGACTCAATGTTGAAATGATAATATCATGTATATATGACATTAAATAAATTGTATGATAAAATCAATCGCACGTGTGGGCCACATTATATTTCTATTGGACAGTGCTTTCTAGAAGGTGTATTGATTTACATTTTACATTTAATCAACAATATGCTTTTAACTGATTTTTTATATGGTGTTAAGCAGGAGTCAATATCCATTTTATACCATATGATTATTCAGTTGACCCATATATTAAAAGGTGCATTCTTTCTCTGCAGTGCTTCTATGGATCCTTTATACTTACTCAAGTGATCTAATATGAGATGGACATTTCTGAGCTCTTTATTCTGTTTCAAGAACATATATCATATTATTCCACCAATAATACACTGACTTTTTACTATCTCTTTTAGCATCTTTTGATATGTGGTGATCAGAGCCCTCAATTCTGTTATTTTGGGCCAGTTCCATTTCCACTTTATTTATTTATTTATTTATTTATTTATTTATTTATTTATCTATCTATCTATCTTTTAAAGACAGAGTTTTGCTCTGTCACCCAGGCTGGAGTGCAGTGGCATGATCATGGCTCACTGCAGTCTTAACCTCTTGGGCTCAAGTGATCCTCCTCTCTCAGCTTCCTGAGTAGTTGGAACTATAGGCACATGCCACAACACCTGGCTAATTTTTAAAAAGTTGTTTTAGAGACAGGGTATCACTTTGTTGCCTAGGCTGGTCTTGAACTCCTTGCCTCAAGTGATCCTCCCACCTTGGCCTCCCAAAGTGCTGGGATTACAGGCATAAACCACCAAGACCAGCCTTCACATAAAATTTTCAAAATTTCAAAAACAGTCCTGCTGAGGTTCTAATTGGAATGAATTTAATATATGATATATATGGAGATAATTATCAACATAGTAATCATATTGAATCTTCTATGTCAAACATTGTATACCCCCTCCCACTTATTTAGTTCATTTATTTCTTATTGTAATGTGATTGGTGTAAAGTGCTTGAAATTTCCTGGTAAATACAGTCCTAGGTTATTGATGATTTATTTCACTAAAGACAATTGTATTATTTTTTGAAATTAATTTTCAAAGTGTTATCGATATATAATTAATCACTGACCTTTTATCAGGTAATCTTGCTAAATTAGCTTATTAGTTAAAAAATTACCTTTTATCAGGTAATCTTGCTAAATTAGCTTATTAGTTACAAAAAAAGCTTATCTGTTGATTCTTTGTGATTTTTCCAAGTAAACATAGTTTCTGCAAATAATTACAATTGAATTTTCTTGTTTTCTATATATTCCTTATTATCCTTTCTTGAGTTGTTGCTCAGAGTCAGAAACTCAATACAATGTTGAAAATGAATGATAGCAACTACTCTTGTCTCATTTTTTATCTCATTACATAGGCTTTCAATATTTTATGGATATCTACAATGTTTTCTGTAGTTTTTGTTATTTTTTTGTTTTTGACTTTTTGTTACCCTTTACAAATAATGTTTCTACTATTCATAACTTGTTATAATTTTTATGAAGGAGGGAGTTTCACATGATCAAAAGCTTTACATGCATCTGTTAAAGTGAGCATAATATTGTGTTTTTAATCTAATGTGGTGAAATAAATTGGTTTTTGAATATCTATGCATCCTTGGATTACTTATATGAATCCAAATTAATAATGATGTATTTCCCTTGTGTAGCTCTATAGGTTAAATATTTTACTTCTTTTTAATATATTTTTTACATCTAATATTTATGAGGAACATAACAGGTCTATAGTTTCCCTTTCTTTAATATTTAATATTCTGATGGGCAATATATTTCCAGATATAAGATCTTGACATCTGCGAAGTGGCAATATAGTTTTATCTTTTCCAATTTGGATGTCTTTTATTTCATTTTCTGTTCTGATTGCTCTGGCTAGTACTTCCAGTACTATGTTGAATTGGAGTGGTGAAAGAAGAACCCAAGTCTTATTCCAGTTCTGAAAATAAAAGGCTTTCAATTTTTCCCTATTCACTATGACCTTTATTATTTTGAGGTATCATCTTTCTCCACCTAGTTTGGCAGGAGTTTTGAGTTTTTTGTCATGAAGGTGTTAGATTTTATCAAATGTTTCCTCTGCATCTATTAAGATAATCATATTTTTGTCCTTTATTCTGTTGATGTAATGCACCACATATATTGATTTTTGTATGTTGAACTATTCTTGCACCTCTTATGTAAAACCCACTTGATTATGGTATATTACCTTTCTGATGTGCTGTTGGATTGAGTTTGCTAGTATTTTGTTGAGGATTTTTGCATCTATGTTCATCAGGGATATTGGCCTGCAGTTTTCTGCTGTGTTGTTTCATTGCCTGGTTCTGATATCAAGGTAATGCTGACCTTGTATTAGGTTGGTGCAAAAGCAACTACGGTTTTAAAAGTAATGCCAAAAACTGCTATTATTTTTGCACAAACTTAATAGAAGGAGTTAGAGAAGATTCTCTCCTCTTCAATATTTTGGACAAGTTTGAGGAGAATTAGTAGCAGTTCTTCTTTATACAGTTGGTACTATTCAACCATGAACCTATCCAATTCTGCACTTTCCTTTGTTGTGAGATTTTATTACTGAATCAATTTCACTATTCGTTATTGGACTGTTCAGGTTTTCTATTACTTTCTGATCCAATCTTGGTAGGTTGTAACATTCCCAGAATTCACTCATTTCCTCTAGATTTTCCAGTGTACTAGCATATAGTTGTTCATAATAATCTGTGATAATGTATTGTATTTCTGTGGTATCACTTGTAATGCCTCTTTTTTTTTTCATTTCAGATTGTGTGTATTTGCATCTTCTTTCTTCTTTTCTTGGTTAGTCTAGTTAGTGGTTCACCAGTTCGTTTATCTTGTAGAGGAACTAATATTTCATTTTGTTGATTATTTGTACTGTTTTGTCTCCATTTTTTATTTCTGCTCTGATATTGATTATTATTATTTTTGCTAATTTGAGGTTTGGTTTGTAGCTTTTCTAGTTTCTGGAGGTATATTGTTAGATTGTTTACTTTAAAACTTTCTGGATTTTCTTGATGTAGGAATTTATTGCTATTGAAGGAGCACAGGAAATTTACTCCAAAATATGTCTGCCTGGTAAAATTAATATGGATATCTACCCTTAGAGATTGACAGGCCTTAGAACAGACTTTTCTCTTATCTACATAAAGGCTGGAAAGATCAATCAAGAAAAACAATGGTTTTTCTTTCCTCTTCATGTTGTCTCATTTTCTATTGTAGGAAAGAATATCAAGAATGTAACCAGATAAGGTCCATTGGTTTTTACAAAATAATGAGTCTCTCAGGCTCATTCAGTTGCCAAAGAGAACCACATACAAGCAAATCTCTGTTCTCCCCACTCATTTATTCTCCCTGGTAATCATTTGTTGACTCTCCACAGATTTGGTGATATTTCCTATTTCCCTCCTACCCTCTGAAATGGGGATGTGTAACTATTTGTGAAAGATAATTTTGTTGGAATAGTATCTTTGGGTGACAAATTTTTGTCTCTAGCACTTTGAATATATCCTCGCATTCACTCTGGGCCTGTAAGATTTCTACTGAGAAATCTGCTGTCAGTCAGATGAGGGCTCCTTTATATCTGACTAGATGCTTTGTTCTTGCTGTTTTTAGAATTTTCTCTTTTCCATTGACTTTAGACTGTTGGACTATTGTGTGGCATGAAGAAGACTTTTTGCTTTCTATCTGTTTGGGAATGGATGACTGAACTTCCAATATCTGAATGTTTAAATTATTTTCGTAGACTTAGAAAATTTTCATTGATTATATTATTACATAGATTTTTAAAAAACTGTTTCATTATCTTTTTGCCTTCTGGAATATTGAGAAATGGTGTTCCATATATCATGAAGACTTTGTTTATAATTAAATTTTTTTCTTTCTGTTCAATTTTATTTTATTTTATTTTAAGTTCTGGAATACACATGCAGGGCATTCAGGTTTGTTACATAGGTAAAGTTGTGCCATGGTGGTTTGCTGCACCTATCAACCCATCATCTAGGTTTTAAGCCCCACATTCATTAGCTATTTAACCTGATGCTCTTCCTCCCACCACCACTGTGACAGGCCCCAGTGTGTGTTGTTTCCTTCTTTGTGTCCATGTGTTGTCATTTTCAGCTTCTGCTTATAAGTGAGAATATGCGCTGTTTGGTTTTCTGTTCCTGTGTTAGTTTGCTGAGATTAATGGCTTCCAGCTCTAACCATGTACCTACAAAGGACATGGTCTCATTTTTTTATGACTGCATAGTATTTCATAGGTTATATATGCCACATTTTTTATCCAGTCTATAATTGATGGGCATTTGGGTTGATTCCATGTCTTTGCTATTGTGAATAGTGCTGCAATGAACATATGAGTATATGTATCTTTATAATAGAAGGATTTATATTCCTTTGGGTATATACCCAGTAATGGGATTGCTGGGTCAAATGGTATTTCTGGTTCTAGATCTTTGAGGAATTGCCACACAGCCTTCCACAATGGTTGAACTAATTTATATTCCCACCAACAGTGTAAAAGAGTTTTTATTTCTCCACAACCAAACCAGCATCTGCTGTTTGTTGACTTACTAATAATTGCCATTCTGACTGGCATGAGATGGTATCTCATTGTGGTTTTGATTTGTATTTCTCTAATGATCAGTGATGTTGAGCTCTTTTTTCATGTTTGTTGGCCACATGAATGTCTTCTTTTGAGAAGTGTCTATTCGTGTCCTTTGCCCACTTTTTTATGGGTTTTCTTTTCTTATAAATTTGTTTAAGTTCCTTGTAGATTCTGGATATTAGACCTTTGTCGAATGGAAAGATTGCAAAAATTTTCTCCCATTCTGTAAGTTGTCTGTTCACTCTGATGATAGTTTCTTCTGCTGTGCAGAAGCTCTTTAGTGTAACTAGGTGCCATTTGTTAATTTTAGCTTTTGGTGCCATTGCTTTTGAGGCTTTTGTCATGAAATCTTTGCCTGTGACTATGTCCTCAATGGTATTGCTTAGATTTTCTTCTATGGTTTTTATAGTTTGGGTTTTACATTTAAGCCTTTAATCCATCTTGAGTTAATATTTGTATAAAGTGTAAGGAAGGGATCCAATTTCAATTTTCTGCATGTGTCTAGCCATTTTTACCAGAAATATTTATTAAATAGGGAATCCTTTCCTCACTGCTTGTTTTTGTCAGGTTTCTCAAAAATCAGATGGTTGCAGATGTTTGAGCTTACTTCTGAGATCTTTATTCTGTTCCATTGGTCTATGTGTCTGGTTTTGTACCAGTACCATGCTGTTTTGGTTACTGTAGCCTTACAGTATAGTTTGAAGTCAGATAGCATGATGCCTCCAGCTTTGTTCTTTTTGCATAGGATTGTTTTGGCTGTATGGGCTCTTTTATGGTTCCATATGAATTTTAAAGTAGTTTTTTTTTTCCAATACTGTGAACAATGTCAATGGTAGTTTAGTGGGAATAGCATTGAATCTATAAATTACTTTGGGCAGTATGGCCATTTTTCACAATATTTGTTCTTCCTATCCACGAGCGTGGAATGTTTTTCCATTTGTGTCCTCTCTTATGTCCTTAAGAAGTTGTTTGTAGTTCTCCTTGAAGAGGTCCGTCACATCCCTTGTTAGCTGTATTACTAGATATTTTATTCTCTTTGTAGCATTTGTGAATGGGAGTTCATTCATGATTTGGTTATCTGCTTGTCTATTGTTGATGTATAGGAATGCTTGTGGTTTTTGCATGTTGATTTTGTATCCTGAGACACTGCTGAAGTTGCTTATAGCTTAAGGAGCTTTTGGACTTAGACAATGGGTTTTCTAGATATAGAATTGTGTTGTCTGCAAAGAGAGACAGTTTCATTTCCTCTCTTCTTATTTGAATATCCTTTATTTCTTTATCTTGCCCTGGCCTAAACTTCTAATACTATTTTGAATTACAGTGGTGACAGAGGGCATCCTTATCTTGTGCTGGTTTTCAAGGGGAATGCTTCCAGCTGTTGCCCATTCAGTATGATGTTGGCTGTGTGTTTGTCATAACTGGCTGTTATATTTTGAGATATGTTCCATCAACACCTAGTTCATTGAGAGTTTTTAACATGAAGGGATGTTGAATTTTATCAAAGCTTTTTCTGTTTTTATTGAGATAATCATGTGGTTTTTGTCTTTAGTTCTGTTTATGTGATAAATTATATTTATTGATTTGTGTATTTTCAGCCAGCCTTGTATCCCAGGGATGAAGCCTACTTGTTCATGGTGAATAAGCTTTCTGATGTGCTGCTGAATTTGGTTTGTCAGTATTTCATTGAGGATTTTTGCATTTATGTTCATCATCAGGAAGCCTGGCCTGAGGATTTCTTTTTTTGCTGAATCTCCACCAAGTTTTGGTATCAGGATGATGCTGGCCTCATAAAATGAGTAAGGAAGAAGTCCCTCCTTTCCAATTGTTTGGAATAGTTTCAAAAGGAATGGTACCAGTTCCTCTTTGTACCTCTGGTAGAATTCAGCTGTAAATCTCTCTGGTCCTGGGCTTTTTTTTATTGGTAGGCTATTTATTACTGCCTCAATTTGAGAACTTGTTATTGGTCTATTCAAAAATTTGACTTTTTTGTGGTTTAGTCTTGAAAGGATGTATGTGTACAGGAATTTATCCATTTCTTCTAAATTTTCTAGTTTATTTGCATAGAGGTGATTTGTATTAGTCTGTTTTCACACTGCTAATAAAGATATACATGAGACTGGGCAACTTACAAAAGAAAGAAGTTTATTGGACTTACAGTTCTACATGGCTGAGGAGGTCCCACAATCATGGCAGAAGGCAAGGAGGGGCAAGTCATATCTTATGTAGATGACAGCAAGTGATGAGAGAGTTGTGCAGGGAGACTCCCATTTTTAAAGCCATCAGATCACGAGACTTATTCACTATCGTGAGTATAGCATGGGAAAGACTTGTCCCCATGATTCAATTACCTCCCACCCGGTCCTCCCACAACATGTGGGAATTCAAGATGAGATCTGGGTGGGGACACAGCCAAACCATATCATTCCTCCCCTGTCCCCTTCCAAATCTCATGTACTCACATTTCAAAACCAATCATGTCTTCCCAACAGTCCCCCAAAGTTTTAACTCATTTCAGCATTAACTCAAAAGTCCACAGTCCAAAGTCTCATCCTAGATAAGGCAAGTCCCTTCCATCTATGAGCCTGTAAAATCACAGGCAGGTTAGTTACTTCCTAGATACAATAGGGGTACAGGCATTGGGTAAATACAGCCATTCCAAATGGGAGAAGTTGGCCAGAACTAAAGAGTTACAGCCCCATGCAAGTAAAAAATCCAGCAGGGCACTCAAATCTTAAAGTTCCAAAGTGATCTACTTGATTCCATG
Source organism: Homo sapiens (assembly GCF_000001405.40). NCBI lineage: Eukaryota > Metazoa > Chordata > Mammalia > Primates > Hominidae > Homo > Homo sapiens. The sequence goes on from NC_000004.12 coordinate 92,253,518, forward strand.
TCTCAAATCCAGATGATGCCGATGCAAGAGGTGGATTCCCATGGTCTGGGATAGCTCTGTCCCTGTGGCTTTGCAGGGTACAGCCTCCCTTCTGGCTGCTTTCACAGACTGGCATTGAGTGTCCACATCTTTTCCAGATGCACAGTGCAAGCTGTCAGTGGCTCTACCATTCTCGGGTCTGGAGGATGGTGGCCCTCTTCTCACAGCTCCACCAGGAGGTGCCCCAGTATGGACTCTGTGTAGGGGCTCTGACCCCACATTTCCCTTCTGCACTGCAATAGCAGTAGTTCTCCACCAGAGCCCCACCCCTCCAGCAAATTCTGCCTGGACATCCAGGCATTTCCATACATCTTCTGAAATATAGAAGGAGGTTCCCAAACCCCAATTCTTGACTTCTGTTTACTGGCAAGCTCAATATCAAGTGGACACTGCCAAGGCTTGAGGCTTGCACTCTCTGAAGCCACAGCCTGAGCTCTAGATTGGCCCCTTTCAGCCATGACTGGAGTGGCTGGGACACAGGGCACCAAGTCCCTAGGCTGCACATAGCATGGGGACCCTGGGCCCAACCCACAAAACCACTTTTTCCTCCTAGTCTTCCAGGCCTGTGACGAGAGTGGCTGCCATGAAGAACTTTGATATGTGCTGGAGACATTTTCCCCATTGTCTTGGTCTTTGAGGCTGCTGATCTTCGGATGGGGTTTTTGTGGGGACATTTTTGTTAATGCTGTTGTTGTAGCTTTCTGTGTGTTTGTTTTCCTTTTAACAGTCAGGCTACTCTTTTGTAGGGCTGCTGTGATTTGCTGATGGTTCACTTCAGGCCCTATTCACCTGGGTCCCTCCCGCACCTGTAGATGTCACTTGAAGAGGCTGAAGAACAGCAAAGGTGGTGGCTGCTTCTTCCTCTGAGGTCTTTGAGGAGCACCAACCTGATGTCAGCAGGAATGCTCCTGTATAAAGTGTCTGGTGACTCCTGTTGGGGTATCTCACCCGTCAGGGGCACAGGATCTGGGACCCACTTAACAAAGCACTCTGGCTGTCCCTTTGTGGAGGGGGTGTTCTGCACTTGGGGGAAACCCACTGGTCTGGGCTGCCTGGATTCCTCAGAACTAGCAGGGGGAAAGACTAAGTCTGTTGGTCCTCAGAGACCACATCCACCCCACTCCCTAGGGCTCAGGTCCATAGAGATCAGAGTTCTGT